>NC_000021.9:46546087-46699983 GCF_000001405.40 Homo sapiens | reverse complement strand
CCCTAACCCTAACCCTAACCCTAACCCAACCCTAACCCTAACCCTAACCCTAACCCTAACCCTAACCCTAACCCTAACCCTAACCCTAACCCTAACCCTAACCCTAACCCCTAACCCTCACCCTCACCCTCACCCTCACCCTCCATGAGTAATATGTCTGTTATATTTTGGGTGTCATGTGTGCATTAGGAATGCTGCATTTGAGTTGCGACGCTGCAGTTGAACCGTGCAATACAGCCCCTCGCCTTGCCTTGGGAGAATCTCGGTGCGCAGGATTCAGAGAGGCTTTTCGTTTCCCGCTTTCCACACTAAACCATTCTAACTGGTCTGTGACCTTGATTATTCAGGGCAGCAACCGGGAAAGATTTTATTCACCGTCGATGCAGCCCCGAGTTGTCCCAAAGCCATGCAGTACCCCCAACGTCTGTGCTGAGAAGAATGCTGCTCCGCCTTTACGGTACCCCCCAGGTCTGTGCTGAACAGAACACAGCTCCGCCCTCGCAGTGCCCTCAGCCCGCCCGCCCAGGTCTGACCTGAGAAGAACTCTGCTCCGCCTTCGCAATACCCCCGAAGTCTGTGCAGAGAAGAACGCAGCTCCGCCCTGGCGATGCTCTCCGGGTGTGTGCTAAAGAGAACGCAACTCCGCCCTCGCAAAGGCGGCGCGCCGGCGGAGGCGCAGAGAGGCGCGGCGCGCCGGCGGAGGCGCAGAGAGGCGCGGCGCGCCGGCGCAGGCGCAGAGAGGCGCGGCGCGCCGGCGCAGGCGCAGAGAGGCGCGGCGCGCCGGCGCAGGCGCAGAGAGGCGCGGCGCGCCGGCGCAGGCGCAGAGAGGCGCGGCGCGCCGGCGCAGGCGCAGAGAGGCGCGGCGCGCCGGCGCAGGCGCAGAGAGGCGCGGCGCGCCGGCGCAGGCGCAGAGAGGCGCGGCGCGCCGGCGCAGGCGCAGAGAGGCGCGGCGCGCCGGCGCAGGCGCAGAGAGGCGCGGCGCGCCGGCGCAGGCGCAGAGAGGCGCGGCGCGCCGCCGCAGGCGCAGAGAGGCGCGGCGCGCCGGCGCAGGCGCAGAGAGGCGCGGCGCGCCGGCGCAGGCGCAGAGAGGCGCGGCGCGCCGGCGCAGGCGCAGAGAGGCGCGGCGCGCCGGCGCAGGCGCAGAGAGGCGCGGCGCTGTTGGGGAGACGCGGCACAGGGCATAGACGCACGCCGGCGCCTCCCCGGAGGGGAGGGGTCGCTGGGCGGGCGGGAGTGAGGCGCGGCGCAGGCGCAGAGACGCACGTCGCTCGGCTGAGGGTGGCGGGGAGTGTTGCAGTCGCACAGTCGCGCGCCGCCGGGCGGGGAGCGCGGGGGTGGCGCGGTGCACGCGCAGAGACACACGTCCCCGGCGGCGCAGAGACGAGTGGAACCTGAGTAATCTGAAAAGCCCGTTTTGGGCGCCCCCTGCTTGCAGCCGGGCACTACAGGACCAGCTTGCCCACGGTGCTCTGCCATTGCGCCCCCTACTGGCGACTAGGACAACTGCAGGGCCCTCTTGTTTACAGTGGTGTCCACCGCCCCCTGCTAGCGCCGGGGCACGGCAGGGCTCTCTTGCTCGCAGTATAGTGGTGGCACGCCGCCTGCTGGCAGCTAGGGACATTGCAGAGCCCTCTTCCTCACATTGTAGTGGCAGCACACCCGCCTGCTGGCAGCTGGGCACAGTGCCGGGCCCTCTTGCTGGCATTGTCGTGGCTGCACGCCACATGCAGGCACATGGGGACTACGCAGGGCCCTCTTGCTCCCGGTGTGACGGCTGCCGTCCCCTACTGGCCACCTCCTGCACCACTTAAAGTCAGAGCGCCAGTTATTAATCCCCATCAGTTCTGTAAATTAAAACTGAAAAGGAGCTATTACTGCGGAGAGCTGATGTCCCAGTTATTAACTTGGAAGACAGCTTTTCACCAAGAGGCAGTACAAAGATGGAAGATAACTTCATTGAAAAGAAATACAGAGTAAAGAGCTTATAGTACAAAAATAGGGAGGAGTAGGCTGATAGTGCATGAAAACAGCCTAAGAGTCCTGTGCAGGGATTTTTATTTTGGACTTCTTCACATTCCTGCCTCTGTCTCAAGTCTCCGCCTGTTTTCTTTCGTTTTCCTGCTACTGCCATAGGT
The DNA here is from genome assembly GCF_000001405.40 of Homo sapiens. NCBI lineage: Eukaryota > Metazoa > Chordata > Mammalia > Primates > Hominidae > Homo > Homo sapiens. The sequence goes on along the minus strand of NC_000021.9, from coordinate 46,697,848 downwards.
CCCCGACTTGCCCCACTTAGCCTTGTGGGACCTCCTCACTGTTGATTGAGGTACATGTGTGGTGATCAATCCGAATCCACTCTGGCACCAGCCTCCTTCCCGCCATACCAGGCAGGCTGACAGCAGTCACGTTTGTATCTACTGCAGCTGCCTCTTTTGAATGTCTTTCTCTGCCCTAATCTGTACTTATGGTGCCAGGTTTCTCTTAAAAATGTCCCCTTTGTCCTTCTTATCAGCATGTAGCTAGCAATATTCTGACATTTTTATTGCAGAGTGAATGATGATTGGGGCATCTTTTTTTTTTTTTTTTTTTTGAGACGGAGTCTCGCTCTGTCGCCCAGGCCGGACTGCGGACTGCAGTGGCGCAATCTCGGCTCAATGCAAGCTCCACTTCCCGGGTTCACGCCATTCTCCTGCCTCAGCCTCCCGAAGAGCTGGGACTACAGGCGCCCGCCACCGCGCCCGGCTAATTTTTTGTATTTTTAGTAGAGACGGGGTTTCACCTTGTTAGCCAGGATGGTCTCGATCTCCTGACCTCATGATCCACCCGCCTCGGCCTCCCAAAGTGCTGGGATTACAGGCGTGAGCCACCGCGCCCATCCGATTGGGGCACCTTAAGAGAAGTTCTAGGGTGTTTCTGCGTAGGTACCTCTTCTCCCTCCTAACCACAATTGACAAGTGCCCATCCACTCCAGCACTAGAGATGCTACTAATATGTGCATTTTTGGTGGTCCCTCCAGGTGAGCCTTCACAGACTTTCCCTTTTCCAGGAGCTCCCCCTCCTGTTCATGTCTAGCTAGCTATCTACTCTAACAGAGCCCACTATCCTGTGTCTTTCCCAAAAATAGTGAGGGAATGATTAATTGGAAACCATAAGAAATGATATGCATGTAGATGAAAACTTTACAACTTACACAAATAATCACTCAAAATCATCCTTACACTAAAAATGCAAAACTATACAATTTCTAGAAGAAACTATAGAGGAAAAGCTGTGTGCCTTTGCGTTTGGTAATGAATTTTAACAAATGACACAGAAGGTTGATATACACAGAAGAAATGACAATGTGGATTTCTTAATATTTACAGTTTATACTCTGGAAGAGACCTTGTCAAGAGAACAAAAAGACAAGCCACATATTGAAGAAAATATTTGCAAAATACAGATCTGAGAATTTGTATTCAAAATATATAAAAAATTGTTAAAACTAAACAATAAGTTAAACAACCCAATTAAAAATGCACACAGATCTGAACAGACACTTCACCAAAGAAGATCTACAGATGGCAAGTACACTTACAAAAAGATGCTCAACATACTAGAGAACTGAAAACCACAAAAAGATAGCACAGCTGGTCTATATCTCTTAGAACTGCTAAGCTCTTTAACAAATGACAAATTGCTGGAGGAAAAACAAGAACTCTTTTCATTGCCAGTGGAACACAGTGTATAAGACCAAACTATGCCACCCCAAAATATAATGGTAGGAAACCAGAATATGCAACCCCAAAATATGTCCCTTTGGCTTAAGAATTATTCCAAGCTAATTATTTTGAAAAAAAAAAATGCTAACAAAGGAAGTTGTGAAAATAGAGTAGAAGTTACTTGTGTAAGGAAAATTTACATCTATAAAGGAAATCACCATTTAAAAGCTACCTCTCTCGACACCAAGAAGAGAAGGATAACTAAATCACTGAAGAGTCTTATCAATGGAGAATGCATGGACTTAAGTCTGTATAACGTACCTTACTCTTGTCTAATGTGCTTTTGCTGGTTAACTCCCCACTACTGCACCTCAAATCTTCTTTCTTTAAGTTGAAGATAGTATTTATGCTTGAATTGAAAGCCACCTGTTGGAGATTTACTCATTTTTCCCTGAGTATCTCCCATGTAACCATAAGATATACATGTTTTTAAACTTTTCTCTTTTTCTCATTTTAATCTGTCAGTTTTTACAGAGCGTTCCATCTAAGAATTCCAAAAACAGAAAATTATTTTTCCTCCCCTATTACAAGTTGGGCATTTTTTTCCAAAGCTAAACAAGTCTCACCTTACAATCCAAAAATAACATTCCTAGGTATTTTGACAACTACTTTGATGTTATTTCCCATCAAAAGCTACCATGCAGTTATTTACAGAAGCCCTATTCATAATGACCAAAGGAAAAAAAAGGAATCAGAAAGTCTTACAATAGATGACTGTGTGGGAATCCACTCAGACATCAAAAGTTGTTATAAAGATTATTTAAATGAAAACATTTGAGATACTGAAGATGAAGAAATCTTACCAGAACTTACTTTATCCAATTAAAGCACAGCTCCCAGAAAAATACAGCTGCCATTAACCCCATCCAAGGAGTTTCTTGCAAATTCAGCTGCCATGAAGACAGCGTACTCTTTCCCATTAGCATTGATAAATGAAAATTAAATTCTAAGCTCCCAACTGACTGAACAGACCCACTCTTGGCTGAGGGGACCCCAGAGTAACTTTCAAAACTGAGTTCTCAGCTTTGCTAGGATGGGATGATGGGGTTAAGATACACATCGTTATACCCCCTCCTTTGCTAACCATGATGAGGCTTTCTTCCCTAAGGATTTAACAGAAACCAGCCCTTTCAAAGCCTCCACCACTGATATCAACCTCTCCTTTCTTGCCTGATAAGAGACCACCCACGATGGAGAGGTTCTGGCCAGTGTACAGAGGATGCACAGAGCAAGTTTTCATGTCCTCTGCTTCACCTTTTAATGTCAGAGGGCTGAAAACTCCACCCTGGGATCATGCTAACACTGCCATTTTTTGTACATGGGACCCATGAAGAAGCAAGAAACTCAATTGTGCGTGCATGCATTTCTCCTTCCATAAATATTCATGACTCCTCCTAGAGCTTATTAAATAAATCTAATTGGCCATTCCACTCAGCATAAGTTGCTATTTCCTTTACCTCCTCCTTGAAGCATCTGTTTCTGGCTTCTGGCTGGAGGCTATGCTTCCCAGCCTGTCAGAAGGACAACCCTGCAGGCTACAACCCTTTATAGAAAATAAATCTCTCACTGGGTGGGTGGCTCATGCCTGTAATCCCAGCACTTTGGGAGGCCGAGGTGGGTGGATCACCTGAGGTCAGGAGTTTCAGACCAGCCTGGCCAACATGATGAAACCCTGTCTCTACCAAAACTGCAAAAAATTAGCCAGGTGTGGTGGTGGGCATCTGTAATCCCAGCTAATCAGGAGGCTGAGGCAGGAGAATCGCTTGAACCCAGGAGGCGGAGGTTGCAGTGAACCAAGATCATGCCATTGCACTGCAGCCTGGGCAACAAGAGTGAAACTCTGTCTCAAAAAAAAATAAAAATAAGCATAAAAGTGAAGAAATGTCTCCTTTCCAAATTTATGAACCTCATCATTCTTCCGTTCACAGCATTAAAAGGTTCAAAAAGACCTTTCCATACTCTCCCACAGAAGCCCTAGAAATTGTCATTTTGTTAATCATTCTGGATGCCTGAGAACTTGTAATCCAATGAGTAGAAAGTTTGGTACCCCATTTATGGCTGTCAACCTGCCAGTTCTCAGGAGTTTGTATAAAAGCCTAAATCCGAAAGGATCTCATCCCATTAGGACCCTTGTCTCCTTTTCTGTTGCCTTTGCCCACTGGCTCTGGCAACAGGGGTCTTTCTTTCTCCTTGGCTATCTTTGGATATGGGGGCTCCGTCTTCTGTGCCACCTTAGGGAATGCCTTTTGCAGGCATGGCTAAGTCATTAAAAAGCCTACAGTTTCAGTAACATTTTGAGTGAGCACTCTCTGAAGCTGCGTTGGAATCTCAGGCTTCTTTGTCTGGAAGATAACTCTTGGGCTACAAGTTTCTTATCCTACCTTTGGTTTTGAGGCCTCTCTGTTCTCCTCTTGGGTTGGAAGTTATTCCTGGCTTTTTGTTTCAAGGTGTCTGTGATCTTGATCTTGCTGCTTTCATGGGAACTTCTCACTTCACTAAATTCTCCCTTCTCAAACCTCTGCTGACTATGTGTTCCACCAATATGGAACTAATTCTACTTCTTTTCCTGTTTGCATGACTTTACTAAGAATTATTTACAACTTTAATGGCTCCTTTGAGAAAATTTTTATCTTCCAAATTGCCTCCTTTTAGACCTTTCCTTTCCCAGTTGAGTCTCTCAACTCCCTATAATCACTGAAACTTCAGGCACCCCACTCCATGCCTTGGAGGCTCTCAGTGTGCTCAAGAATCTGCAAAAGCAAACACCTGGGGCTGAAGAATAAAATAGAAAAAAAATTATTTCTCAGCCTCCATAAGATTCTATGTCAAAAAAAAAGAAAATCTTTAAAATCTCCAAAAATATTGGTGAGAAAAAAGCCTTAGCCCTCATATGAAGAAGAAAAAACTTGTTCCATTTTCCAGATACATAGTTATAATACAAATATAAAATGGGGCAAAGACAAAAACCAAGTCTTCTATATAAACTAGTGAATTGTGTAGTTATTGTAATCACATTAGTCAGGGGTCTCCAGAAAGGCAGAATCAATAGGATATATGTAGACAGATGAGAGAAGATTCATTAGGGGAACTGGTTCACATAATTATGGAGGCTGAGAAGTTCCACAATAGCCTGTCTCCAAGTTGGAGAACCAGGAAAGCTGGTAGCATGGCTCACTCCAGATACAAAGGACTCAGAATCGGGGAAGCCAATGGTGTAACTCTGATTGTGAGGCCAAAGGTCTGAGACCCTGAAGTTCTGATGTCAAGGGCAGGAGAAGAAGGATGTTTCCATTTCAGAAGGAGATAATTCACCTTTCCTCTTCCTTGTTATTCTATCTGGGCTCTCAACCAATTGGATGCTGCCTGTATTCATCCATTTTTATACAGCTATGAAGAAATACCTGAGTCTGAGCAATTTATAAAGAACAAAGGGGTTTAATGGGCTGACAGTTCCACATGGCTGCAGGGGCCTCACAATCATGGCAGAAGGGGAAGCAAAGCTATCCCTCTTCACATGGCAGCAACAAGAAGTGCTGAGCCAAAGGGGAAAAGCCCCTTATAAAACCATCAGATCATGAGAACTCACTCACTGTCATGAGAACAGCATGGCAGTAACCACCACCATGATTCAGTCACCTCCCATTGGGTCCCTCCCACGACATGTAGGTATTACAGGAACTACAATTCAAGATGAGATCTGGGTGGGGACACAGCCAAACCATATCAGTGCCCATCCACATTGGGTCATGGTTATCTCAGTGTCTTCCAGAAACACCCTCATAGATATGCCCAGAAATCGTGTTTGACCAGCTGTGTGTGTCTCTCAATCCAGTCAAGTAGACGTCTACGATTAACCATCAGAATATTTATGCCTGATTCATGGCTGAAATCGTGTTTGACCAGCTATGTGTGTCTCTCAATCCAGTCAAGTAGATGTCTACAATTAACCATCAGAATATTTATGCCTGATTCATGGCTGAAATCGTGTTTGACCAGCTATGTGTGTCCCTTAATCCAGTCAAGTTGATGTCTAAAATTAACCGTCAGAATATTTATGCCTGATTCATGGCTGAAATTGTTTGACCAGCTATGTGTGTCTCTCAATCCACTCAAGTAGATGTCTAAAATTAACCATCAGAATATTTATGCCTGATTCATGGCTGAAATTGTGTTTGACCAGCTATGTGTGTCTCTCAATCCACTCAAGTAGATGTCTAAAATTAACCATCAGAATATTTATGCCTGATTCATGGCTGAAATCGTGTTTGACCAGCTATGTGTGTCTCTCAATCCGATCAAGTAGATGTCTAAAATTAACCGTCAGAATATTTATGCCTGATTCATGGCTGAAATTGTGTTTGACCAGCTATGTGTGTCTCTTAATCCACTCAAGTAGATATCTAAAATTAACCATCAGAATATTTATGCCTGATTCATGGCTGAAATCATGTTTGACCAGCTATGTGTGTCTCTTAATCCAGTCAAGTAGATGTCTAAAATTAACCATCAGAATATTTATGCCTGATTCATGGCTGAAATCGTGTTTGACCAGCTATGTGTGTCTCTCAATCCGATCAAGTAGATGTCTGAAATTAACCATCAGAATATTTATGCCTGATTCATGGCTGAAATTTCAGGATGAAAGCTATGAAATCTCTATTTGTGTTTGTGTATCTATTAATGTATGTTATGTATATGTGATATTTTCTTAACTCCAGAGAGCATTGCAAAATTCATTTATGAAATCCTCTAAAAGTGCTCTATTCTAACTTGGCTTGGAAAAAAATAAGCATTTATAAATAAATATTCACCAAACTCCTAGAAATATAGGAACTGATCAAATGTTTCTTAAGTTAACATGATTTGGATAAAACTTAGTTAAATAAGATTAATATAGGATTTTTGGTGTAATAAAACAACTATATCTTCAAAATTATCATTATTGAATATAAAACAAGCATAAATTCCTATTCTGCTTGAGTTCTAGTCAAATAAGCTAATATTATACTTACTAGAAACGTAAAATCTTAAAGCTTATAGATTTGATTCTAATTAAGTTGTCATTCTTATGAAAAACATTATTTTTTTTATGCTGAAAAGATACACATATATTTAGAGTTAGCCAGCTGGACTCAGTTTAGGTGATCCCAATTTTGTTACAACATCGAAAGCATCATAATCAGGAGCAAGTCGAACATATGCCTTCTCTTTATCAGGACAAATCAGGGTGGTGACCTTGGCCACATCACTGTCATAGAGCTTCTTCACAGCCTGTCTGATCTGGTGCTTGTTGGCTTTAACATCCACAGTGAACACAAGCGTGTTGTTTTCTTCTATCTTCTTCACGGCCGACTCAGTGGTCAGCGGAAACTTGATGATAGCATAGTGGCCAAGCTTGTTTCTCCTGGGGGTGCTCTTCCGAGGATATCTGGGCTGCCTCCGGAGTCGCAGTGTCTTGGGCCGCCTGAAGGTGAGTGACATGCGGATCTTCTTTTTTGCGTGTGGCTGCGGACACCTTTCAACACTGCCTTCTTGGCCTTTAAGGCCTTCGCTTTGGCTTCGGCTTTAGGAGGAGCAGGAGCTTCCTTCGCTTTCGGTGCCGTCTTGTGAAAAGCGAAAAACATTATTTCAAAAATAATTTGTTTACAGTAAATCTGCCTAAGAATAGTTTCCAAAGTACTTTTGGTAATTTTTAACCTTAAAGTTAAGCTAAGTAAAAGATTTGCATTAAATATCTAGACCATTTATAAATAAGATACAATACTAAAACATTAATTACTGAACATAAATAATTCAAGTTTATATACTTTTGGCTTCCTGTTTTTACAGAGAGACTAAAGATATTTTGGCCCGTTAATAAACATGTTTTTTTCTGCCACACTGAGGAATTGTATTATGAGAAAACACATCCCTCTAGATGTTGGGAGATGGTATATTCATACATTTTCTAACCTACTATAGAATGCTAATATATGACAGTTTATAACTGTCTACTTCCTAGTTTTCTCTGGAAAATAAAAGATTACTAAGTATTAAAATTATAATCAATATATGTAAATAAAACTACTAGAAATAATAGAATAACTAGAAACAACTCTATGCAAAGCATGCAAGAAAAGTAGGGCATGTTTCGCAAGTAAAGTAGGTTGCATTTTTTATAAGGAAAACCATACAGAAGATACAAATAAAAAGAGATACCTAACCTTCCCTGTGTTATATTTGTATGGGTAAAATGTTATGTTTTCAGAAATTATATAAAATTCCTGGAAGTTTGTCAATGTCCTCCTTATCCATGCTATGTGCCACTATAGAGTAATGAGTCATAATTCCAATTATTACTTTAAATGTTGTGCCAGGCACAGTGGCTCATGCCTATAATCCCAGCACTTTAGGAGGCTGAGGCGGGTGGATCACAAGGTCAGGAGATCCAGACCATCCTGGCTAACCCGGTGAATCTCCATCTCTATTAAAAATATAAAAAATTAGCCGGGCGTGATGGCAGGCACCTGTAGTCCCAGCTACTCGGGAGGCTGAGGCAGGAGAATGGCGTGAACCCAGGAGACAGAGCTTGCAGTGAGCCGAGATCGCACCGCTGCACTCCAGCCTGGGCGACAGAGCAAGACTCTGTCTCTAAATAAAGAAATAAATAAATGTTGTCTGCCACAGAAAAAATCGAATATCCTTGTCAGTTGTGGTATAATGAACTCTCATCAGATCTTTCATCACAGCCATTTCATACTTTTCGTCATTTAGATATTATTTCCCCCTGATGCTTTCCTGAAAGCTCCTGCAATCAACTACAGGTCAGAATGTTCGTCTCCAAGACAGGACTCCCTCTGAGACTCACAGAAAAGACTATGACAGGTACTCTGGTTATAGGCTTCTGATGATATTGCTTAAATAACTTTAAGACCATACACTTGACTCAGTTAAGGTCTCCAGAAGTCCAGTTGGGAAACTGATGGGTTCATGACACTGCTAACTCAAGATCCACAAGACTGGAATTGATTACATGGCACTGAATGAACTGATGAAAATTGATTATAATTGTATAGCTTTTTGGAGCATTGCTGGTTAATATTATAGTTTCTGGATTTAAGAAATCTCTTTCTCTTACTCTAACTGTAACTTACAACAATTTAGTAGATTATACTTTTGTAAACAGAAATGAAGCGTTTATCTTTTTTTCTTGCCTGATTTTTCCAGAATTTTGAAATCCTTACTGAATACTCTTATTTCCACGATGATATTGTTGTTAGCAAAAGTCCAATAAGAATCTATTCACCTTATAACAGGACATAATTGGAAATTTTGGTTATATTATCAAGGTTTTTACTGGAATATCATATTTAGGAAGTGTACCTAAGATCAGTTATGACCAGCAATTTTAAGGAAGTAAGGTTGACTTTTATGGAGACAATGCTTACAAAGCACTGTGGAAAACTTTGAGGAAAGTTCTTCCTCAAAGATTATAAAGTCACAACTACCCACTATTTTTATGTGTGTGTGTGTGTGTGTGTGTGTGTGTGTGTTCCAAATCACTTGTCCTAGCTTGCTCCAGCATGCCTGGACAGAACTAGACAAGCCCCAGCCCATAGTGCATGCCATTCCTTATTTGGAGATGCTTCCTTAACTACCCCTGGGCAACTTCCTTTTCTTTCTTTCTTCTATTCCCCTTACCTAATTAAGAAAGTTTTAAACTAACAGCCAATCGGGTAAAGTGTAAAATGGGAGGTCCTATTCCAGCCAATGGAAACTGGACACAGCAGTAGGGTAGACACGTCAGGTTATAAGTAACTCTGTCTCCTTTGTTTGGTGTGCTCTTGTAGCTGGACAGCTATTGAGTAGCACCCTTTGTGCAGAAAAATAAAGCTCGCCTTGCTAAGAGATCATTTGTTCCCATGTTAGTTCTTTTTTTTTGGGGGGGGAACATAAAAAACTTCATTCCCAACAGCACTCTGAGAAAACCCAGCCTGATACCTAGATTACAGGGTTCACAGCCTTATAGGTTAGTAAGGAAGGTCATTTCCTGGTAGGCCCAGGAATTTAGGGATATTTTGGGGCCTCAAGAAGAGAGGAATTCACAAAAAGCTATAAGGACTGCAGCTGAAATTTGATAGTATGTTCTTGGCTTGGCTTTTAGCCTGAATAAGGCCTTTAAAAGTCAAATCTGAGATTCTGTATGAAAACTTCCAGCAAAGAAACCTGAAAGCACCTACGTGGTCATCTCCTGTTCTTGCTGCACTTACGTAAATAATCAAGCAAAATCTAACAAAACTAGACTTATTTTTAAAACAAGAATAGTCTTACTTTGATTATGATCAAAAATGATGGTTACTACAGAGAGAAATTTTATCTTTCAAAGGAAAAGTATAACACAGCCGGGCATGGTGGCATATGCCTATAATTACAGCCCTTTGGAAGGCCAGGAGTTCAACATCAGCCTGGGCAACATGGTGAAACCCCGTCTCTACCAAAAATACAAAAATTAGATGGGCATGACGGCATGTGCCTGTAGTCCCAGGTAATCAGGAGGCTGAGGAGGGAGGATCGTTTGCACCCAGGAGGTAGAGGTTGCAGTGAGCTGAGATTGCACCTTTGCACTCCAGCCTGGGCGGCAGAGCCAGACCCTGTCTCAAAAAAAATTTTTTTAAAGGAAAACTATAGCCATTGTGAGTTATCAGATTCTAGTCTTGTTTCTTGTTTCTGGGCTATTTTTACCTCTTTGTAAACTGGATCCTGCCATCTGATGAATTTTGTCCCACAATGATACTTGGGGAACAAGAAGCCAAGTATTGTCTCTCCTACTAATGTATCTATTGTCAGTTAACTTGAAGGTCTCCAACCCTGGAACAAAGTTAGAAGAGGAAGGTTCTGCTCCCCAAAATGCATAACCAAATTCTGCTACATTCATGTAATGGAATACTATTTAGCCATAGAAAGGAACAAGATATCAACACACACAAAGACATGAGTGAATCTTGCATGCACATTGCTAAGTGGAAGAAGACAGTCTGAGGAGGATACACACAGTGTGACCTCATTTAATGAGACACTGGAGAAGGCAAACTACACAGATGGGAAGCCATTGGCTCCATGGGGTGGGGGTTTGAGGCATTCCATATGATACTTTAATAGCGGGATATCTGCCACAATGCATTTGTCGAAATATGCAGAATTTTACAGCCAAATGGTTAAAGCAAACTCTATTCAAATTAAATCAAATTACTCAGGATGTGGAGTATCCCATGACAGAATACATCATGTGAAAAAGAATTTATGCTACAAATTACTATGGTTTGGATGTGGTTTGTCCCCACAAAAACTCATGTTGAAATTTGACTCCCACTGTGTCAGTGTGGGGCGGTGGGGCCTAGTGGACGGTGTTTGGGTCGTGGGGACGGATCCCTCATGAATAGATTAATGTCCTCCATGGGGGTGAGTGAGTTCTGTTCTCACAGGAATAGATAATTCCTGCAGGAGCAGGTAATTAAAAAGAGCCTGGCTTCCTTGGCTTCCCTCTTGCTTTCACTTCTGCTGTGTGATCGCTGGTGCACCCCTTGCTCCCCTTCCACTTTCCACCATGAGGTGAAAAAGACTGAGGCCCCGCCAGATGCAACCGCCCAATCTGAGACATTCCAGCCACCAGTATTGTGAACCAAATGAAACTTTTTTACTTATAAATTACGCAGCCTCAGGTATTCTGTTACAGAAGCACAAAATGGACTAAGACACAAATCTAGGTAAAAACTTTGAAAATGAATAGAATCTGTAGGCTGAAGGCACATGAACTATACTTCATTATTGGATTCCATTTTATAAAGTTCTTTCCAACAGAAGCAATTGTGAACAATTGTAAAACCACAGTGTCTGTATCTGGAATAAAACAATGACTTACATAAGTCACAGATGGTGGGAACCAGGTTTCTTACTGTTGAAGTGGGAGGTTACAAATTAGCAAGGCGAGAAGGCTAGAATGATTCATGTGATAGTAGATCAGAGGTGGAGACATCAACGTAAACTTATGTTTAGTTTAATATAGACACACACAGTTCTACATAGAAAACTTTATAATTAGGTGTGTATAGGTAGGTTAGACACACACATATACTTCCTAGCATTGCCAATGAGGGAGAAGATACAATGTGCTCATTCAGCAGCCAGATGTAAGTTTTCCTACCATTCTGAAAGTAATCAGGCTCTTTGAAGAAATGTCTGATACTAGAACTGGGACAGTAAATATAGGAGCCAGGATAATCTGGAAGTATCAGAAAGTAAGTACTAAAAAAATTAAAACATATCAAAGAAAAATAAGAGCCAATAAAAACAGCTACTGATGGCCAACACAGGAATGAATTGTGCAACATAATACTGTAGTGTTGAATAATAACTAAAGCTTAAAGTAATTATCTAGGTGTCTGTATTTGTATACCTAGGTGAATAAGCAAATGGAGTTGCATAGAAATCTCCTTTGCAAAAGAATTCCAAATAATTGATGTAGACACTCAGCCGTCAAGAAGGTGGAGCCAACTCCTGACGGAGTAAGGCTCTGCATAGTGACTTGCTCCAAAAGAACACATGCAGTACGGACAAGGAGGAGAAATAACCTCACAGTGGAGAAACCTGACAAACATTAGCTCTGCCAAATGATCCAAGTGAACATCAAAGGTGACAGTTCACCTTGAGAACATGAAGTGACAATGGGGGACATTCTACAACATTCCTGACCAATCCTCCTCAGTGCTATGAAGGTCATCATGAGATGGAAAGCCTGACACACTGTCACAGCCAGGAAGAGCCCACGTGATGTCTACATGTCATGCGGGATCCTGGATGGGATCCTGGGTCAGAGTAAGATAGAACTAAGGGAATCCAAATGAAATATGAACTTCAATTAATAATAGTCTATCAGTATTGGTTCATTAACTGTGACAAATTATGTAAGATATTAATAAGCCATGTGAGACACACTGATAGAAGATGTTAATAAGAGAGGAAACTAGGTTGCGGCTACATGGGAAATCTCTGCTTTTTTTTGACAATTTCTGTGTAAGTAAAAAAGATGATGTAAAATAAAACTTTATTTAAAACACTGTTTTTTTTGAACACTTCCTTGTTTAATTATTTATACCATGAATTACTAGTAATTGACACTGTTAACTAGTCCTGTTTTTTTAAATAAGAGTATTTATGACACAAAAAATTAAACAGTGCAGACTGATACATAAATCAAATGTTCTTTACATGTTTTCTGTTGCGGTAGTAACACATATGTGTAAACTTAATTATCACGTTTTTCTTGTGCTGTGGTTGTGTCCTGAGTTCATTCTCTAAAATGCTGTTCACCTTAGACCAGGAAAAATATTAACTATACAGACTCTGTTTCAATTCATAGCTAAATATTTTCGAAAGAGTGACTTTGTAAAAATATGTTCCAATGGCAAATTGATTCATTGTGATGGGATCACTTATTCCAAAGACTTCCTGTCTTTATTTTGTTGCCATGCCTACCTTTTAGCCATGATACAACAGAATCAAATATTGGCCACTGGGAAAAAATATTCAAAGCAAGAAAGAATGTGAACAGAACTTATGACCATGATGATTCAATGTTTTACCACAATGCTTTCTAAAACAGAAGAGTGTAAAAGGATATTCAAAGTCAATTTCCTCAGCGAGGCTTTGCAGAAAATGAGGAAACTACAGAAACAAAAATGGCAGGACATTCTACGGGTGATTTTAAATGTTGCTATGTTTTATGGGAAAAAAATACTTTACCTTTTAAAGAATCACAAAGAATTATTGGAAACCCAAACTCTGGAATGTTTGCAAATTTAGTTGAGCTTCTATGTAATTATGTCTATATAGGTAGCCAGGAAGTTGATGATTTTTTAAAAATCTGTGCCTTATTTGTGTGATAAAATACACAATGAATAATTAATGCTCATAGGAAAATCTTATGAAGGGAAAATAAATCTTGGGAATCAAAATCACTAAGCTAAAGGGAAAAGTCAAGCTGGGAACTGCTTAGGGCAAACCCGCCTCCCATTGTATCCAAAGTCACCCATCTGCTCACCGAGATAAATGCATACCTGATTGCCTCATTTGGAGAGGGTAATCAGCAATGCAAAAGAATGAAACCATTTGTCTCTTACCTACCTATGACCTGGAAGCCCCCTGTCTGGCCTTCTCACCTTTCTGGACTGAACCAATGTACATCTTACACGTATTGATTGATGTCTCATGTCTCCCTAAAGTGTATAAAACCAAGTTGTGCCCCGATCACCTTGGGCCCATGTTGTCACGACCTCCTGGGGAGGCATCACGGGTGCACATCCTCAAGATTGGCAAAATAAACTTTCTTAAAAATCTGAGAGCTGTCTCAGATTTTCAGGGTTCACACATGTAATGTAGGATGTCAACATTTATAAAACAGACATTATTCTATCTACTATTAGAAATATGCTGCCAATTAACCTTACACTTTCTCAACAAAATAAAAAATGTTGATGAGGTACAAATAATATATCTAAGCTTAAATAGTGTTACAAGTTTTAATATGCCTACTTTTCAATTTTTCAATACTATTTTTACTAATTTAACACTTTAAGTGAATAACTAAAACATGAATAAGTGTTTACAAGGGGTGCACATGTTTCCTCCAGCCTCTGCCTATCCCCAGCTTTCATCCCAACTGTCTTGATGGTGGCTCTAAGCATTTCTCCTTTCTCTATGCCAAGATCTCTCCCAGAAACAAACCCAAATCTTACTATATGTTATGGCACGCTATGATGATGAGCAGCGATGAGCAGCCGAAGCCTCAAGGAAGGGATGCTTTTGTAAAACAAGACTTGTAGAATATAACGTGTGAAAGTAAAGCCCATGGCAGAGCTCCCTCCTCAGCACACGGGGAGCAGACAGGAAGCTTTTGCCTCACCTTCCTCAATGGCCTGCAGCCACGTCTCCCAGGTCAGTCTTAAGGACAATGAAACTCTGGTCTTCACTGTGGACACGCCACACTACCAGGTGCTCCAAAGCCATGGTGACCCACCCTCGGGTGGGTCCTGAGAACAAAGCTCTGGTTCTAATCCTAACCCTAACCCTGTCCCAAGACTTTGAGCCTGAACCTAAATCCTGATCCCTACCCTGGTCCTTAATTCTGACCCTTACTTTAACCCTGACTTTGATCTTGACCCTGACCATGACCCCACCTCTAACCATACTTCCGGCCCTGACTCTGACCCAGATCCTAATCCTATGCCTAACCCTATTATTATCTTTACAATCTATCTCTACTCTTACCCTCTAGTGCTAAATAGCTGTACCCAAAAGCACTTTTAAATTATTTCTTTTCTTGAATTCTCTATGGACATCCTAAAGGAGATGTCAATATGTATTGCATTCCCTCTGAGTGGTATGGCTTCAGATATGAAGTTCTAATACTTTGCAAGACATAAAAAGTTTGGAGGGTAACAGCACTGGGTTGTTAGGGATGTATGTTGGCATTCATGATAGTCATTGGTGCTGTTCTCCAAATATTTTCAGTTCATTTTTTATGAATGCATTCTGACTGTTCCATCCCACCTACTTAAATTTTCCCATGGCCACATGACTTTTTTTTTTTTTTTTTTTTTTTTTTTTTTTTTTTTTTTTTTTTTTGCCAATGGAGGTGAGAAGAAATAACGTGACTTTTTCAGGAGAAATCTCCAAGAAACAGCGTTCTATTCCGCATGCTTTTTTCTCTTTTCTATAGCAATGGGGATCTTATTGACGGTCCCTCCTTCCTTCTGGATTCCTGTGTTAGGATGACACAGCACAGAGCTACCTCTCACCTGACCAGTCATGAGATGTAAATAAATGAGGAAGAAGATTTTTGAGCCACTGAAATTTGGAGGTTGTTTGTCACCACAGTTTAAGCTAGCCCCCACTGACTGATGCACGGCTGAAGAATGAGTCCGAACTGGCTCTGGACAAGACATGTGAAGAGCGCTCCAGGCTGAGTAAAATTCAAGGGTTGCCTCAAAGATAACAATGAGCACGATATGTTATTGGGGTGGGTGTGGGATAAATAAGGTGTATCAGGTGAGAATAAGAAGAAACTCAACTTTAAAAGACGGCGCTGATTTGCACTGTGGAGAGATTCAAATGCCCTGCTTAGCATTTGAGATTGTGATGGATGAACAAACTAATTAAGAGCCCAAAATGGAAGCTTAGGATAAATATCTGAGGGTGTCTAATATCCCAATTTTTCATCCTAGAATGGGCAGAGTCCTTGACCCCATTCTAGGGAGACTTCCAAAAGAAAAAAGACCTGCATTTCTTCAACAACCCACACTGAGAGACTTTCCTGCACTTTTGACCTGTGGCTAACACTCCTCACCTTTCATTCTGTCATCAGTGTTTTGGGGAAGCACCTTCATCTCTCTGATTTAGAGGTTATTAAGTGGCCCTTACAATTCCCTCCAGAGATGGAAAGGACATGATGATGGTGTCTGAGCTCACAGCAGCAAGCAGGCGTGTGTGCTCAGCAGCCACGTGGCTCATCTGCTAGGAGCTTGCTAAACACAATGTTCTACAACATTGCCTAACACAAGGGGAGACGCTCCTGACTCAGAGGGTTTAATTGCTCACCTACTTCTTTTTCTGCCTTCTTGGGCTTCTAAAATGAAAAGAACCCTGGGGTGATAAAGTGAGTCAAAGCGGTGCCAGCCGCATCACAGCAAAATAGATTCCTAAAAAATCCCTGGCCTAAGATGACAGCCTTGGCTGGATCAGTTTGAATGTGCTGATAGCGGACGTGGTAGAATGAAGGTGGCTGAAATGTTCATATTAAAGAACTTCCACCCAGATTGCAAGAAAAGAGATAGGAATGGAGATGGCAGCACGAGTCCCTACAATAAAAGCAGATGTTTTGAGATCAGTTATATTTGTTCTGACAAAAATTAAAGACAGAAACCAAAGTTTAGCCTGAGGCTACAATTAATTGGGCAATAAGCCAGAGGCACATATGGCATAGACAGATTTAAACATTTCTCCCTGATATTAATACAAACACTAAAATTACAAATACATGGATTCCAAATAAAACAAATATTTTAAAAATTTAATGAATAAACACTGGGGTCTACAGTAGTATTTGAAGGAGATCTCACAAACAGGTTTGGTTTTTGAAGGTTAGAATTGATGGTCTAGATAATGCATTTCATTCCAGAGATAGAAAGAGAGGAATTTCTTGGGTTCCTTCAGGAATGCATCTAGTTTTGCCTCATCTTTGTTTGAACTATGGATACGGCAGAAGAAAACATGAGGATTTCACAGATTTAAGGTGTGAAAACTCACTGGGTTCTCTAAGAAGTCTGTGATTCTTCTGCTGGAAAAATAAGTTTGTTGAGAAAAAATGAGTTGGAGGAGGCTGTTACTAAGTGAAGCAGAATTGTTTTTACTAATCTGCTTATTAATCACTCTGTAGTGTGGAAACAAATTATTCATGCACAAGGTCCTCTTACTGTTCCTGGAATGCAGTGGAAAGAGAACAGATTAGTTTTTCTCCCTCAGAACACAACCCCTAGAAACATCCTACCTCAGATGAGATATTGCCTAATTATTTTCAAAAGACAGTGAAAAATGATGGATGTAAATGTTTGCTACAAAATAAATACATGCTAGAAACAGAAGCATCTGGGTCACAGCTATATTAGAGCTACCTGTGTTCCCCTGTCACTGAGATTAAAACAAAAATGTCCAATACAATCATTCACAGCATGGGAGAGGGGAAGTTGAAGGATGGAAAGGCCAGGCATAAAAAGATTTCAGAATTTCAGTCCATAAGGCACCGGCCCTGGGGTGATTAGGGAAGAGCGGTATTGTCTCCTACAGTATCAGAGCCAGATAAAGTAGGTGGTTAGGAGTATTGGTTCTGGACTGGTAGTTTAATTGGCTGGCCCTGGGAAAGGCAATCTTTTCCCAGTAAACCCCAGATGCTAGAACATCAAGAAAACAGAAAATAAGAAAATATAATTAATGCATTCCGTATGCACAGATGGAGTCTTCCTTTGCTTCCACAGAGGAAGAATCCACAGGAGCGTGGCACTCCTGGACCTGAGGAAACCCTGAAAATGTTGGTATCTGCAGATCCTCTCCAAAAAGAGGTCGCCAATCTCCTAAGACTGCAAGCCTGACCCTAGCATTCTGGGAGCCAAGAGGGAGAAAGAGTCTGAGGATCTCCCTGCTCAGTAAATTGGCTTTCACTAAATACTCTCTTTACATAAGCTGCATTATCTAGTGTCCTGGAGCTTACAAAAGTTCTGTTTCAAAGTCTGAAGAAAATAAATTGTTTCTTTTTCCGACGTCAGGGAGGAGTATTTGACTGCCAGTGTGGACTGAGGGGTCTTGGGATCACACTCTTCCCAATCAGCTTTGAACCGACCTTTCTGTGTCTGCCTCACCATCTCCTCTGCTTATCTAGACACGTGGTAACCCTAACCCAAGCCCTTGTAGGAGTCTGTGGTGTGGCTCAGCTGCCTCTGTAGGCATCTCTTGGGGTTAAACATTTTCTACTCTGCTAAGGCAGTGCCATCTCTTCTGCTTCATCTGCAGGAGACACTGAGTCCTTCCCCACCCTCCACACCAAGTCCGTAGCACCCTTGAGGCCACAGGGTTGTTGCCATAGTATTTTTGTACTGAGTGCTCTCTTTCCAAACAACTGTGAGAGATTTCTATGGAGAAGGCCTCTGGGTTCCTGTCAAATCAAATTGTAGTTGAGTGTTGGGTGCTATTCAAGAAGCATCCACCTTTCTTCTTCCTAACAGAGCCCTGAATTATTTAGTCACATGGTTTGAAACATGGGGTGGGTGCTGGTTGACTTAACCTAACCACCACTGTCTCACCCTATGTCACAGTTACTGGTTCCAAGGTGGGTGCATAACTGAGGCTCATGCCAGGTGCCACACAGCACTCCCTTGGTCCCCCTAATGGACTTGGGGATGGGCAAGGGCCTGAGTTGTTCCAATTAGAGTCAAATACAAGTTGTGCTAGGTTGTTAGGAACAAGAATGTGCTTGTTCATCTTCCCTCTTTGATGAAGAATGCAGCCTCATAAATTATTCCTAGAGATTTTGCCACACTCAGAATGATTCTGACTTCACTGAAGGCAGAGCAGAAAATTGGGAAGAGACTGAGTCCTGGGTAGCATACCTGAGCTTCTTTTTGCTCAAATTCACCCTGAAGCCTGGCCTTCTTCTGAACTACCCACCTGAGTCAATAAAGTGCCTTCTTATTAAAGTCAAATTGAGCTGGATTTTTAGTTAGTTGCATCTGCAGGTGTTCTGTGAAGCTGATCCTATTAGTTTGTATCTGAGAATATTTAGAGTGTTTCTCTCATGGTTGAGTCAATCATTTCAAGGATGCTTTGAGGGTAAAAAGAATGATCAATTGTGCTGCCAGGCACAATTCATTGGGCAATAGAAAGCTTTATTTACTGGGCAGTAGAAACTTTCATTGTACATTAATTACATATCTTGTTTCTGTCTCAACCTCCTGTTTTTTTATATGCAAAGAAGGTAAGGAAGTCTACATAAGTCCAGCAGCTAATATGCCTCTCAGGTGTGATCCAAAAAAGAATTGAATTATGCAAGCCTTGTTAAAATTCATCATCATCATTCATATTTCTGAATATTTAAATTAGAAATTCTGAAAAAGTCATTTGTTTCAGAGGTAGTTTGTATGTATGTAGGTATTTTTTCAGGATCAAAAGTTTATTTTTATAGTCTGATTGAGTTTAATTTACATATAATAAATTTACCAATTTTAAGTGTACAAATGAATGCATTTGGACAAATATATATAGTCATATACACAACACTACCATTAAAATACATTTCATTACCCCCAAAACTCCCTCGTATGCTGCTGTATTCAGTGCCCTCCCCACACCACAGCTCCTGGCAGTTGCTTTTTTTTCACTCTAGTTTTGTCTTTCTTAGAATTTGTTACAGGCCACAAGCAGCGACTCATGTCTGTAAATCCTAGCATTAGACTGAGAAGGGAGGATCACTTAAGCCCAGGAGTTTGAGACCAGCCTGGGCAACACACATATGGCAAAACCCCATCTCAAAAAACATACACACACTCACACACAAAATTAGCCAGGTGTGATGGCACACCTGTGGTCCCAGCTACTCAGGATGAAGAACCACCTGAGCCTGGGAGGTCAAGGCTGCAGTGATCTGTGATCACATCACTGCACTCCAGCCTTGGTTATAGAGTGAGATGCTGTCTCAAAAAAAAAAAAAGAATTTAATATAAATGGAATCATATAGTAAATTATCTTATACCTGGTTTCTTTCATATATTTTAATGCCTTTGAGATATGTCCATGTTGTTTCCAGTATATATGTCATTCTTCTTATGTTGGGTAGTAACCATTGTGGGAATATATTACAGCTTGTTTAACTATTCTTCAGTGATAAACTATTTTTAAAATATTTGGCTATTAAGAAGAAAGTTGTTATGAATACTTATATTCAGGCCTTTGTGTAAACAGATTTTCACTTCTCTTGGTTGAAAACATAGGAGGAATTATTATTTTTTGAGTTATGGATTTTTAAATGACTATCAGTTTCTTTAAAAAATGTAAATTCTTAAATTTAAAAGTTTAGGATGTCTGACAACCCTGACGAAAACAAGCAATGGGGGAAAGGATTCCCTATTTAATAAATGGTGTTGGGAAAACTGGCTAGCCATACACAGAAAATTGAAACTGGACCCCTTCCTTACACCTTATACAAAAATTAACTCAAGATGGATTAAAGACTTAAACGTAAGACCTAAAACCATAAAAACCCTAGAAGAAAACCTAGGCAATACCATTCAGGACATAGGCATGTGAAAAGCCTTCATGACTAAAACACCAAAAACAATGGCAACAAAAGCCAGAATTGACAAATGGAATCTAATTAAAGAGCTTCTGCATAGCAAAAGAAACTCTCATCAGAGTGAACAGGCAACCTACAGAATGGGAGAAAATTTTTGCAATCTATCCATCTGACAAAGGGCTAATATCCAGAATCTACAAGGAACTTAAACAAATTTAGAAGGAAAAACCAAACAACCTCATCAAAAAGTGGGTGAAGGATATGAACAGACACTTCTCAAAAGAAGACATTTATGCAGCCAACGAACATATGAAAAAAAGCTCTCATCATCACTGGTCATTAGAGAAATGCAAATCAAAACCACAATGACATACCACCTCACGCCAGTTAGAATGGCGATCATTAAAAAGTCAAGAAAAAACAGATGCTGGAGAGGATGTGGAGAAGCAAGAACGCTTTTACACTGTTGGTGGGAGTGTAAATTAGTTCAACCGTTGTGGAAGACAGTGTGGCGATTCCTCTAGGATCTAGAACCAGAAATACCATTTGACGCAGCAATCCCATTACTGGGTATATACCCAAAGGATTATAAATCATTCTACTACAAAGACACATGCACACGTATGTTTATTGCAGTACTGTTCACAATAGCAAAGACTTGGAACCAACACAAATGCCCATCAGTGATATACTGGATAAAGAAAATGTGGTGTATATACACAATGGAATACTATGCAGCCATAAAAAGGATGAGTTCATGTCCTTTGCAGGGACATAGGTGAAGCTGGAAACCATATTCTCAGCAACCTAACACAAGAACAGAAAACCAAACACCGCATGTTCTCTCTCATAAGTGGGAGTTGAACAGTGAGAACACATGGACACAGGGAGGGGAACATCACACACCAGGGCCTGTTGGGGGATTGGGGGCTAGGGGAGGGATAGCATTAGGAGAAATACTTAATGTAGATGATGGGTTGATGGGTGCAGCAAACCACGATGGCACATGTATACCTATGTAACAAACCTGCACGTTCTGCACATGTATCCCAGAACTTAAAGTATGATTTAAAAAAAAAAAAGAAAAAAAAAAAAACAGAAGCAGAACAGAACATTTTTTACAAATAAAAATTATGGTAAAAAAACAAAAAACCAAAAAAAAACAAAAGTTTAGGATGTCAACTAATTCTTAACAACTTTCAATTAGAAATCTAGTGCAAAAGAATACTGCTTAAAAGTAGAGTGAAATGTTAACTACATTGGAAATAAAAATAGTTACAAATTTTAGAATTTTTAACACAATTGAGAATTTTCAGCTTACAATTAGGTGGATTTAGAAATATCAGAACACATCTGCTAAGAGGATGATGTGGCATCTGTGGAAGTCTGCTTGCACACAGCTGGAAGCCTTCAGGGGTAAAAACAAACTACTTCTCTTGCTGGAATTCACACATGTCCAAATATGTCTGGGGAATAGATAGAACTTTATTGTCAAATGTATTTAAAGGGCTAGACAATGGGGTAGGGAGGAGACTCAGAAGCCCCTAGGAAGGAATCATTCTGAGTGAAAAACACAAACAAAAAAGCAAACACACATGTTAGTCCAGTAATTTCTATAGTTATTCATGTAATGCTTGATGTGCTTCCTTTCTGTATTACCAACTGCTACAGGCACAGGGACACCATGCTGAACAAATCAAGATAAAGCCCCTACAAGCACGAGGCTCACTTCCATGGAGGGAAGAAAGAAAATATACAACACTGACAGCGTAGAGTACAATGGGCAGGAATCAAGTAGAGTAAGGGACAGATAATGATGGCCTAAGCTGCTGTTTTAGGTAGAGTAGTTAGAAAAGGCCACTGAGATGAGACTCCATTTGAACAGAGACCTGCAGAAAGAGACAAGGCTGAAGCGGGCAGATCACTTGAGGTCAAGAGTTCGAGACCAGCCTGGCCAATATAGTGACACCCTGTCTCTACTTAAAAAAAAAAAAAAAACTAGCCAGGCATGGTGGTTGGGTGCCTGTAGTCCCAGCTACTCAGGAGACTGAGGCAGGAGGATCTCTTGAACCCAGGGGGTGGAGGCTGCAGTGAGCTGAGATCACACCACTGCACTACAGCCTGGCAGCCTGGGTGACAGAGCAAGACTCTGTCTCAAAAAAAAAAAAAAAAAAAAAAGAGACAAGACAAAGTTGTATGTGGTGATTTCTGGCAGAGGGAACAGAAGGTTGGAGGCTCTGAGGCAGGAGGGATGGGCAGGTCTGAAGAGTAGATGGCAGTGCTGTGAGAGGGCCATTAGCAAGGGCCTGGGTGGGAGAAGAGCCATCGGTGAGGTGGGCTGTGAGGCAGATCCCCAAGGGGCTTCTGGGTCAGGCAAGGGTTCTGGGTTTATTCTGAGTGGGAGCAGAAGGTTCTGGAAGCTTTTGAGCAATAGCAACCCCAACTCCATCCTGGTCAGAACGGAGGGTTATTGTGACGATGGCCTTCTCTTTTCTCAAGGCACAGACATGAGCCTTCAGGGACACATTTCTAATGAAAAAACTGAAACGAACGCTACACCTAGGACATTGGGGGCCACGCAATTTTCCTGTGAGATTCCATTAGGACTCTGCAACCCAGGGGAACTCTCTCCAAGAATCTCCTCACACCTTGCGCACAGGGAGGGCAGCCCAGCAGGTGGAGGCCCTGGCAGGCCCAGGGGTGCGGACACTTGGGGAGTCCCTGCGGTGTCCTCTGCATTGCTGGCTGGGGATGGAGAAGGCCAAGCCGGTCGTGCTGCTCCAGGCTCTACGGCAGCAGAGACTTTTCTCACCTTTGCTTTTCTCAGGCCCTCCCTTTCCTCCTCCTCCCTCTCACTTACCTTCTCCCTCTCACTTACCTTCTCCTCCTTTTCTTTACTTGTTCTCCACCAACCTGATTTTTCTTTTGTGCTTGGCTTGTGGAGGATTATTTCTGCATGGCATAGGAAGGAGATTGTGAAAGCCCACTGTTATAAGAAGGATTCCTGAAACTAAAGTATCCATAAGTGTCAATTTTACACAGCTAAATGAATCCAGTAAATGGAATGACAAATTGCCAAATCATGTCTTACGGCCAGCTGACAAGAAATCCCTGGAGCATATATAAACCAAGGAACAGGTGCAACTCCAAAAAAGCATTCAAGATGAGTTACAAAGATTATGACAAGATAAGATGGAGCCAGAACCACTGGTTCAAGATTAGATTAAAAAGAATTACATTGTAGGTAGATATTTATTTGTTTAAATATACCACTTTATAATACTGTTTATTTGCAGAAATAATTTTTTTAAAATTTAGTCAAATTATTTTAAGGAAGAGTACAGATTTTTTCTATTTTAATCTGGGTTCTGTAGTTTAGACTATCAGTTTCTCCCCTAAGATTCTATTTCTAACTAGTAACAGTGTTTTCTACCGTTATGCCACTTGAGTGGGAGGACATTGTTGGTCCAATACTAATTCTGCAAACTGCAACTTACAAGATTTTACAACATGGTCTTAATTCTTTCCCTAAAAAGCCACTCATGGCATGGGGTTTGGGGTTAGAATATTTCGGATGGACAGAAAGAATTAAAGGTACTCACAAACACAAAATTTACTTCTCCTTGGTCCATATACAGACGTGGAGATACAGATTAAATTGCTACTTCTTGAGTCAGGTACATTAGGCCTAAGTCCCAATTCTGCCATTTGGCATTACATTGGTCAGGCTACTACTACTTTTACATATTTAAAATATAGGGATAATAATAATACCGACCTTATAGGGTCATTGGTAGGATGAGGTGAGATTTTGCCTGACCGACCCTTAGCCAGGTTTCTGTATCATAGTAGGTGTGCTATAACTAGCTATATTAGGATTGTTCCTACTGGTCTTTTACCTAGATGATTGCTTCTAAATTAAATAAAAATAGATAACTGAACATTATTTATACAATTTTTTGCTGTTTTTTATTTCTATAAACTTATGGGGTACATAAGAAATTTTGGTACATGTATATAACGCATAGCGGTCAAGTCAACGTATTGAGGACAGCCATCACCCAAGTAAAATCGATTTTTGTTAAGTACAGTCCCCCTACTCCACCATCAAATATGGAATTAATTCCTTCTGTCTTACCATATGTTTGTACCCTTTAACCCAGTCCTCCTCTTCCTCTCTTTTCTCCCACACTCACCCTTCCCAGTCTCTGTTATTTATTTTTCCCCTCTTGACCTCCATGTGATCAAATATTTTAGTTCCCACATACAAGTGAGAACACGCAATATTTATTTCTTTGTGTTTGGATTATTTCACTTAAGATAATTCTCTCCAATTCCATCCATGTTGCCACAAATGACATGTTTTCTTTCTTTTTATGACTGAATAGAATTCCATTACATATATATATGACATTTTCTTTATTCATTCATTTGTTGATGAAAACGGGTTGATTCTATATATTTGCTATTGTGAATAGTGCTGCAATAAACATTCCAAGTTTACATATATCTTTTATATTTTGATTTCTGTTCCTTTGGATAGATAGGATGTGTACATGAAAAATCCAAAGAAATTTATAATTAACAAGCAAAGTAATTAGATACAAGATAGTATACACGAATCAGATGTATTTTGAAACAATAGCAACAATTAGAAAATTATTTTTTCAGACAGGATCTTACTCTGTCACCCAGGCTGGAGTACAGTGGCACAAACTCACCGCAGCCTTGAACTCTTGGGCTCAAGCAGAGCCCTCCCACCTCAGCCTCCTCCCACCTCAGCCTCCTCCCATCTCTGCCTCCCCAGTAATTAGGATTACAGTCAGGTACTACCACGCTTGGCTAAATTTTTTTTTTTTGAGATGGGGTCTCCCTGTGTTGCCCAGGCTGGTCTTGAACTCCTGGCCTCAAGTGATCCTCCTGCCTCAACCTCCCATAGTGCTGGGATTACAGGAGTGAGCCACTGTACCTTGCCTGAAAATTAATTTTTAAATGACATCATTTACAATTGCATTAAAAATATCAAACAGTTAGGAACTAGTGAAATGTGTGAAAGAAAACTATAAAACATTGACATAAATTAAAGAAGAGTATCTTCAAATAAATAAAGAGATATTCCATGTTCATGGGCTGAAAATCTTTATATTGTAAAATATAAATTATTCCTCCACATAATCTATAGAATCTAAGCAATCCCATTCAACATCCCAGCAGTTATTTTTATGGAAATTAGCCAGTTGATTCTAAAGTTTATATGGAAATGCAAAAGGCTAAAATAGCAAACACAATTTCAAAGAATAACGAAGTAAGAATATTTAGAATACTAGATATCAAGACAGTAATTCAAACAGTATGATATGGACATGAGAATAAATAAACAGACCAATGAAAGAGAATAGTGTTTAGTGGGCATGCCTCTTTGGAAAACCACTTAGCAGAATCAGTTAACACTGAACATGTACACACCCTGCAGCCCCACAAATCCCCTCTCTTCTAGGTACAGAATAATGCCCCCCCTCCGACACAAATATCTAGCTACAGTGTAATTAGTATGTCTCCATACTAATCCCCAGAATCTATGCATACGTTACCGTACATGGCAAAAAATAATTAAGGTTATAGGTAGAATTCAGTTGACCTGATCAGCTGACCTTAAAATAGAGAAATGATCTGGGATTATTCAAGTGGCTGCAAACCTAATGAGATGAGTCCATAAAAAGGAAGGAAGAAGAGCCTGTGAGAAGGGTCTGACCTACCCTTGCTGGTTTTGAAGATAGTCGAAGGGTCCTCAAACCAAGGCATGCAGATGGCTTCTAGAAGCTGGGAATGGCCCTCATCCAGCAGGAAAATGGCAACCTCCGTCCTACAACCACAAGGAATTGAATTCTGCCCACAGCCCAAATGTGCGGGAAGTGATTCTCCCCTAGAACCTCCAGGAACAAACACAGCACTGCTGGCACCTTGATTTTAGACCCTGCTGGACCTCTGGTCTGCAGAATTGTAAAAATATAAATTTGTGTTCTTTTAAGGCACAAAGTGTGTAGTAATTTGTTATAACAGCAATTGAAAATGAATACAGCAGCAGAATAAACAAAAATCATGACATATGTCACTGTAGGCCACCCCCTTGGTTCCTGAGCAAGTATGCATGTGTGCACATACACAAGCACATGCCTCTCCCCATACCGAGAATTCCAAAATGACTGCACCTATTATAATGCAATGGTCCTTCTTTCAACCATAAAAGCCTTCCTCCTCTTCCAATGGGAGATGGCCTAGAGTCAGATCCACACAGGTCATTCCACAAGTCGAGGATCTGAGGATGCCATCAACCCCTCTGGGAAGGTATAACTGCAGTTTCATGATCTTGCAACCTCTAGGTTCCAGACAAACGTAACTATTACCAAGGTACCTAATCTAATCAAGGAGAGAAAACAATTTGAGCCAAAAAATTAAAGAGAGTCAGGTATAGTAACCGTGGTCCAAACAACATGTTGTAGCCCCCTGGGCAGTGCGGAAGGGAGACCCTTGGTCAGATGGACACTTTGGCTGATGCAGGTTCTATCTGTGTGCAGGATGTGGTTTCTGCTCCCTTTTATTCTCTGTGGCCCTGCCAGAGAGGAGCCTGGTGAAGGGCTGTGGCCCAGGATGGAGCAGCCATGAAAGCCCACATTCTGAGGGTGGGGGTGAGGAGCCTGAGCTGGCTCAGGGGACGGAACGGTCATAGGCTCCTGCGTGCCAGGCCAGGGCACTGTGCTGCATCATTCTCCCCAACGCTGTGTGGATGCCTATCAATTGATTCTGGCTGTAAACAAACATTTTCCTCTGAATCTTGCCGTTCTTCCTGCCCTGTCTCCAGACCTTTAATCCATGACTTCTATCCCTGCCTCCTCTCCGGCTCCAAGCAGTGGGAACAGAGAGCTGAGGTAGCACAAACACCCCCAGGAACTCTGCTCAGCCCCCAAGCCATGAAGAAGTGAGAACTTGCACCAGGAGCAAACACAGCAAAAGGGGTTTGTGAGGGTGCAGGATTCTCTGCTCCCCCATCCTGATTTCCAGAATCCCAGTTTGATGGTTCCCTGCCCAACTTTGTCATGGGGAAAGGAATTCAGATTTACAGTTCAAAAAGATGATTGTGGGACTGTAAGTGGCCCTGGTCCCTGGCCTCGGGAAGGAGCACATCTTTACAATCTCAATACACCTTTCCAGCTGGTGGCTGTCTGCTGTCATATTAGTAGTACTGAAGCCACATTTGTCTGTCTTGCATTGCCTCACCGATGGCCTCAATAAACAGCCAACACTCCCTAACACAGCGATGGCTTTCTACCAAGAATGCTAGACACCAAGCCATGATACCTTTGCTAAGTAATGAACACTGCATAATTTTAGATTAATTAAAGTTTTAGATAAGTCCAAGGCTCATGGATATACCCTAATCCAATCATAAAATAAAGCTCACATCCAGATTCATTTAGTTACTTCATCATTACTAGGAATTTTCCTTGTTACAAAATCCGAAGAAAGGGGCTCAGTTTGATATTCATATTATCTTAGTTATCTATTTTCAAGATATAAGAAGAAAAACGACTCTGGATGACACAACAGAGAGGGACAACATTATGAAATGTCATTTGAAGTCAGCAGCTCTAATAATGAAGACATCACTGGAGGAAATATTGTAAAGGAGGCAGAGATCCCCGCAGAGCACTCCTCAGTTTAGAGAGACGGAAACTGAGGCCTGATCACAGTCCTCTTGCAAGGCTGTAGCAAAACGGGACCTAGAAGCAAAGTTTTCCATCCCTGGACCCAGTTACTGTCCTTGGTCAAAGCTCAGACTGTGAAATCCTTGCCTAGATTCGATTCTGAAGAAAGGGAAGAAGGAGGAGGAGCTTAAAGAGAGGAAAGCCTGGGAAGGGCCGATGGGGCCTCCTGGGATCGCTGAGGCTTGCTTGCCTCCTTTGGGAGTCTCCAGCTGTGGCGGCAGAGGGTCTGCACCCGGGGACGCTGGAGAGCGGCAGCAGGGAGCTGAGGAGAAGTCCATCCCCAAACTCCACCCACTGCAGTTAAGAGTGTAGCGACTTGGTCTTAGAAAACCTGGGTCCTCTCACTGTTGGTGGGACTGTAAACTAGTTCAACCATTGTGGAAGTCAGTGTGGCGATTCCTCAGGGATCTAGAACTAGAAATACCATTTGACCCAGCCATCCCATTACTGGGTATATACACAAAGGACTGTAAATCATGCTGCTATAAAGACACATGCACACGTATGTTTATTGCGGCACTATTCACAATAGCAAAGACTTGGAACCAACCCAAATGTCCAATAATGATAGACTGGATTAAGAAAATGTGGCACATATACACCATGGAATACTATGCAGCCATAAAAAAGGATGAGTTCATGTCCTTTGTAGGGACATGGATGAAATTGGAAATCATCATTCTCAGTAAACTATCGCAAGAACAAAAAACCAAACACCGCATATTCTCACTCATAGGTGGGAATTGAACGATGAGAACACATGGGCACAGGAAGGGGAACATCACACTCTGGGGACTGTTGTGGGGTGGGGGGAGGGGGGAGGGATAGCACTGGGAGATATACCTAATGCTAGATGACGAGTTAGTGGGTGCAGCACACCAGCATGGCACATGTATACATATGAAACTAACCTGCACATCATGCACATGTACCCTAAAACTTAAAGTATAACAATAATAAATTTAAAAAAAAAAAAAAGAAGGCAAAATCAGAAAACCTGGGTCCTCTCTATTTTGAGGTCTGCAACAGCTGGAACAGTCTGGCTGCAAGACACATGCAGGACGCAGATCTGCCCCACATCCACTTTTGTTCTCCACTACTCCAATTAACTTCATAAAACTTAAAGTAGGAATGTGTTGCTGACATGGCAATACTTGGATTTTGTGTTTGTTGTGCTTTCTGAAAAATCTAGTTCCATTAATTTATTTTATTAATGTTTTTGTATGTCCTTATTTGTTTTCCATTTTATGAACACTAGGATGAATGAAAACAAAAGCATTTCTTGCTCCACATCCCGATGCCAAGGTGAGCAGTTTCCAGTGCAAGTCAGGGGCCCTGGGAAGACTTCAACAAGCAGCTCTGGAAAACGAGGAGGCTCCACCCTGGAGAAGCCGCATCTCAGCTGTCACCCTGGGTGTGGTGAGACCAGGAGGCATTTCCATGATTTATGTAACACCTCGCTCCCAAAAGCATCTGAAGCATTTCACACACGTACAAGCATCGGGCAGAATTAAGAGTAAATAAAGGCTCCTGGACGCATGCGTTCCCATCAGGGAGGCCTTCGTTTCCGGGGTCGACGCGTGGGCGCTTCCTCCGTCCAAGCGCAGCGGGTATTTGCAAAAGAACCGCAATAAGCTCCCCCAGGCAGGGTCCTCAGAAGGGCGCAGACCTCCGGCTGGAGGCGGTCCTGAGTGTTAGGGCTGGGCCGACTCGAGGGCGGGTCCTCTCCGCCCTGCCCCCGCGGTCCCCTGTCGGCCCAGCGTCCCCGCCGCGCGCTCGGAGGAGCTCTTTGCTCACGGAGGACGTGCCTCTCCCGACGCCTCGCGGGCTTCCCCTCCCAGGAACGGCGGAGTTCTGCATGGACGCGGCGGGAGAAAGGAGCGGGTTAGGGTCTGGGCTTTTTGTGGCTCGAAGGACACACGGAGGGAAGCGTCCGCGCGTGGGAACAAGGACTTCTCCCAACTCCTTCCAAGTGGGTCGTCCACGGACGCACGGGCTTTCCGAATTCGCCCGGCGTTATGCTGACCACTTGCGAGCGCCGCGCACACCTGCGGATAAGGAAACCAGTATCTGTCTGAACACAGTCCTCCAGGAGAAAACCGTCCGGTTTGGAGCCTCCGCCCACCCCCAGAGGAAAACCTACAGATTTGTGCCACGGTTCCTAATACCTAAGTGAGAGGCAGACACCCGGCAACCCCGGCAAAGGCGCGTCTTAGGCTCACCGGACGCTCCCTGAACCCGTCCCTCTGGCTGCCGAGCCCCCAGCGCCTTCCCGTTTCGGAAAGAAGCGGGCGCAGACCCCTCGGGGTGCCCCGGGGGACGGCAGGTCCCGCTGGTTGCTATAGGAAGAGGCGGGGCGCTGGAACCCCAGCGCTGGGAGCTGCGCGCACCGGGATCCGCTGGCCGCCTTCCGCGTGAGGGTGGCCGCACCTTCCCGGGCGCACAGAGCCCAGCAGGCGCACAGAGCCCAGCAGGCAAACAGAGCCCGCCAGGCGCACAGAGCCCTCTGCATCATTGCTCACCTGCATCACGGCTTTTAGGCCCAGATGCCAACAAAGTTAGAATCCAAGTGAGCATCTGGGCCCCCAGTGATTACAAAGCTGAGCAGTTAAGTACAAAGTCATGCCTGTCTTTTGTGCTCTGTCACCCAGGCTGGAGTGCAGTGACGTGATCTCGGCTCATGGCAACCTCCGCCTCCCGGGTTCAAGTGATTCTCCTGCCTCAGCCTCCTGAGTAGCTGGGATTACAGGCATGCACCACCACACTCGGCTAATTTTTGTATTTTTAGTAGAGACGGGGTTTCATCATGTTGGCCAGGCTGGTCTCGAACTCCTGACCTCAGGCGATCTGCCCGCCTCCGCCTCCCAAGTAGCTGGGACTACAGGTGTGCACCATCATACCCAGCTAGTTTTTAAGTTTTTTGTAGAGGCAAGGTCTTGTTGTGTTGCCCAGGCTGGTCTCAAACTCTTAGGCTCAAGTAATCCTCCTCCCTTGGCCTCCTGAAGCACTGGGATTACAAGCACGAGCCACCACATTTGGATGAGATGCCTTTTCTAATAACCATGTATGAAACTGCACCCAGACCACCAGCCTCCATGTCCATGACAGAAAATCCTGACACAGGCTGGGCACTGTGGCTCACGCCTGTAATCCCAGTACTTTGGGAGGCCAAGGTGGGCAGATCACCTGAGGTCAGGAGTTTGAGACCAGCCTGGCCAACATGGTGAAACCCCGTCTCTACAAAAATACAAAAATTAGCCAGGTGTGGTGGTGCATGCCTGTAATCCCAGCTACTTGGAAGGCTGAGGTAGGAGAATCGCTTGAACCCGGGAGGCAGAGGTTGCAATGAGCTGAGATCACGCCACTGCAGTCCAGCCTGGGCAACAGAGTAAGACGCCGTCTCGAAGAAAAAAAAAAAAAAGAAAATACTGACACAGCTTCTTCACAGCTTGATGCTTGATTAAAAAAAAAAAAAAAAAAAAAAAAAAAAAAAAGCCACAGAAAGGGAAAAGATTTATTCACAAAAATATATGTGTTACAGGACTCAGCCAAATTATATCAGGAACACCTGGAATCTCAATTAGAAATAGAAAAAAAAAAACCCTAATAGTAAAATGGGCCAAAGACTTAAACAAGCACCTCAAAAACAGGATATCCAAAATGAGCGGCAAATCTACAAAACTGGATTAGTCATCAATGAAATGTATACCAAATCCACACGCCCACCAGAGCAGGTAAAATGCAAAACACAATACTGGGTGTTGACGAGGATGCCAACTCTCATGCACAGCTGGCAGGGATATTAGATTCCTTGACTTGAAAACCTGGTATACAGTGTACACCCAACAGAAATGTGTACATACATGCACCAAAACACATACACAGAAATGTCCACAGTCTCAGTAATCATCATAGCTAAACCATGGCAACAACCCAAAAGGACACCATGTGAAACAAGATCATAAACTGTGGTCTATTCATGCAGTTGAATACTATGCCACAATGAAAAAGTCAACCACAACCACACTGTCTAAAATTCATAGATGAGTCTCACAAACAATGTTTAATTAAAGAAGGCAGACACAAAAGAACACGTGTACAACTCCATTCAGGCAAGAGTAATCGACAGTTACAAGTCAGGACATCACCCTTGAGAGGGTGGGCACTGAGTGGAAGGGGAATCGGGGAATCTGTAGTGTGTCCTGGCCTGGATGCTGGTTACATGTGCGTCCACTTTATAAAATGCCATCATCTATGTACCCATGACTAGCACTGTTTTCAATATATATTTGATATTTCAGTTTTGTTTTTTGGGGTTTTTGAGACAGGGTCTTGCTCTGTCACCCACGCTGGAGTGCAGCAGTGCAATCCTAGATCACTGCAGCCTCAACCTCCTGGGCTCAAGTGATCCCCCCGCCTCAGCCTCCCGAGTAGCTGGGACTACAGGCACACGCCACCATGCCCAGCTAATTTTTCTATTTTTTTTGTAGAGATAGTATCTCGCTGTGTTGCCCAGGGTGGTCTTGAACTCCTGAGCTCAAGGAATCATCCCACCTCAGCCTCTCAAAGTGTTGGGATTACAGAGGTAAGCCACTGCACCCAGCCTATATTTCAATAAAATTTAATAAAAATCAAAACAATACAAAAAAAAATTATGGACATGTATCTACTGATGTGGAAGTTTTTTCACAATATTGAGAAAAACTTATAAAGCAATGCATATAGTATGATCCTGTAATTACAAAAAATAACATATATGCATAAAACAGGATACACAATGACATTCACTCATTTAAAAATATTTATTGAGCATGTGCGATGGACCAACACATAATTTATTTGGAAGACGTCTACACAACTGTACTATCCCATGCAGAGTCCCATCGCATACATCACCACCTTAGCTCGCACGCTGAGCCAGGGCAGTGTTCCCTACACGCCACTGGCACAGCCCTGTGCAATCCTACGTCCCACACGAGTGGATGAGCGACGGCAGTAAGGGCACCACTAACATAGGAGGTGGGGACAGTCACTGTCACAGGGTACACGGGCTGATATGCGTGCGTCCTAGGAGTGTAGACCTAGACCTAGCTTAGGAACATGGAGCTCCGACCCAGCCACGGGTCGGCACTGTGGGCACCACGGGTGAACACCTGGAAACACAGCCTACTTCTAGAGGGCAGACACTGGGCAGCGGGGGTGGCCACGGCAGCTCCTGCCGAGCCCAAGCGTGTTTGTCTGTGAAGGACCCTGACGTCACCTGCCAGGCTAGGGAGGGGTCAATGTGGAGTGAATGTTCACCGACTTTCGCAGGAGTGTGCAGAAGCCAGGTGCAACTTGGTTTGCTTGTGTTCATCACCCCTCAAGATATGCACACTGCTTTCCAAATAAAGCATCAACTGTCATCTCCAGATGGGGAAGACTTTTTCTCCAACCTGAAAAAGATAAATGACAACAGGTCAATCAGATGATAAATCATTTGATTAACATACTACATTTCCTAATGGTTTAATATTGGACAAGAGAACAGTATTCAGGTGCAGAATTTTTTTAAATGACAAACTTTTAACAAAAACTTATCACAAAGCAAAGCACAAAACAAATATAAAAAATGAAGGAAAACCATTTATTTTTATTTTCTTTGCCACATTAATCCTGAGCCCAAAGAAGAACATTCCATTTTCAGCAGCCTCTGAGACAGGAAGCCCAAGTGAGCTGGGCGAGCTACACATGAATTCACACACGGATCCGAAGGCTGCCAGTCAGAACACGCATCACAGACGACACGCCTAGACTAACTGCTGCCTGGGAAGCCACAGAGGCCTGTGTAAAGGGAGCGCCAAGGCACAGCTCAGGCTTCTGTCCATCTGGGGGACCCTCTGGACATGGCACAAGGGGCCTCAGGCTGATGTGGGTCTCTGCTCTCCCTCACTTACCGTGTCACCTGAGGGAATGACTTCCCTGACTTCCCTTCCAGAGCCCTCCACTTCCCGTGCTGTCAGATGGGAAATGAAGCCAATGACAACAGGCGCTTTCTGTGTAAGGATTAAATCACTCCTGCACAAAAGGCGTGGACCCCAGTGTGGGCCAGCATCTGCCATCACTACCACCACCCAGGCCTGTCTCCCTGAGGACCGGCACCCACAGGACAGAATCTTACAACTACGTATCTTACTTTTTGAGATGTGGGGTCTTGTCTGGAAGTGACAGCCCAGCTCAGAGCCACAGACATGTGCCTTCTCCACACTGGGTTTCTCTGCAACACAACTGAACCCGTGACCACGTCTCCTGTATGGACAGGGACTGGGTCGTCCATCATGAACAGCGTCTGCTTCCAGTGTGTGGTGCTGCAAGACAGGGGTGCGTGTGACCTGGAGGCTGAGCTAGGGCAGTCTCCACATGGCCCTCGGGGCGCTGACTCAGGCTCGCACTGGCTCTCGCCCCCAACAGCACCCACACAGCCGGCAGTCCACCCTGAGGGCCTGGGGACACAAAGCTTGGCTTTTCAGGCTAACTCAGGGAACATATACACCCCCAGCCCTGTGATCTAAAGGGACTCTATGGGATACACTGGGATCAAAGTTACGCTAGTGAGACAGATCCTGCCAATGCCAAACACAAGCTTGCTCCTGAGACCACTCAGATTCCAGGAGGTGTGGACGGCTCACCCTGGGTGGCCCAGAGGATGCGGGAGCTCAGGGGACACACAGCTGCACTAAAGGTCCCGTGTGGTGTCGACTCCCCGGCCCGCCAGGAGGACGGCTGTGCAACCCCTTCCTGCACCCTTGCCTAAGCTGCAGAGGCTGGTGATCTAGCTCCTGCTGTTAAACTGTGGTGTACACAGACAGAATCAGGTCCAAGGAGTCGCTTCTGTGAAGGTTACAAGGTGAGGACAACTGTCACATTTGGGGGGAAATAGTAAAACGCTATGATTCTGCACTGGGTTGCGTTGGAAACATCTCTAAGTTCCTCAGGCTCTGTCTTCCCTCAAACTCCCACTGTCCACGGTGGGGCCAGCAGTGAAGTGGGGGGCTCCTCAGGTCTCCAGTTTTTCCCTGACTCTGGTCACACCCCTCACCCCAGCCTGTGCCCCAGGTCACTGCCCCCTCCACGCCCCCAGACTCGGGGATGGGTATAACTGGCCTCCAAGCTGCCCACCTCCACCCGGTGATGGCACTGGAGGGGCCACCACAGGACTCTTGTGATGGGGACCACATGCCAGGCCAGGCCATCAACCCCGCACCTCTGCGACCTCCCTGGAGCCGGGGTCCCCTCGCGGGGCCACCACGCTGGGAAGTCAGCGGGGCAGGTGCCAGAGCGGGGTAGCCAACCCCACCCAAAGGGAAGGCCTGCAGGGCCCTGAAGGCAGCTCCACTGCCACACATGCCCAGGGTGCTGGCGGGGAAATGTGTCCCAAAAAACAGGCACCTCCAAAAACGTCAGGTGAACCCCGACGCCCCGTGGAGGCGCTTTGGGTCAGACCATGAAGAGCTGTGGTGCTCCTCGCGGGGTGGAAGACAGGGAGCTCCTCCCGTTGGGGCTGTTGTCGGAGGGACGCCCAGGCTGGGCCCAGAGTGGTGGCGAGACCCGGAAGGGGGCACACAGGCTGCGGTGTCTACACCACCCGTGCCCCCATGCGCGCCGCCCCCACCCCACTGCCCGCGCCCCCACGTGCCCCACCCCCCCACGACCGCCACGCCGCGTCCCACCCCCTCCTGCGCGCCCCATCCCCGCACCCCGCCTACTCCCCTGCCCCCCACCCCGCACCCCGTGCCCGCGCCCCGCACACTCACGGGTGGAAGGGCCCGGTGCTGAGCACCTGCGGCGGCTGCCCCTCCTGCAGGCTCTGGAAGTGGACGCTAAACCAGGCCGTGAAGCCGTGCAGGGTCCCCGCCTTCCTGATGTCGAAGCGCAGCTCGCCCCTCAGGGTCTGGGTCAAGCAGATGACAAGGCACGCGTGGGCACCGCGTGGCACCGCAGGGCCCGGGTTGGGGCGGCCCCCTCCACGCGCCCCGCGCAGACGCTGAATGCGTCAGGAACCGTAGAAAAGCCCCCCAGCCTGGGGAAACCACCCCCAAAACCCGCATCGTGAGTTCAGAGGCTTCAGTCAGAAACGTTTCAAGCATCTGAGCTTCTTGCGCCCAATTTTCTACCCCAGATTCTGCGGAATCTTTTCGGCGCTCAGCTCTTCCAGTTAAGGAGTTGGAGAGCTCCAGGCTGGGCCTTTCCACAGCAGAACGAACTAAAAACCAAAGCGCGCCGGCGCCACCGCGCCCGCCCCATCTCCAGACGCGGCGCCAGCTGGGGCGCCAGGCAGGGCGGGGGCGCGGGGAAACCGCCCAGAGCCCACGAGCGCCACCGCGCGGCCACAGACAGGGATTCACGGAGGGAATTCTAACGATTCTGTCATGAAGAGTGGCTTAAAATACTTGAAAAAAACTGTAATGCAAATACCATAATGAAACGAAATATAATTTATTTGATTTTGAAGATGCTGAGAATATTAAACATAAATCTAAAATGAAGACGCTGGAGACATAAAATGGTGTACAATATGAAAGAATCAAAATAGAACGTAAAAAAGAAAAAAGACTGGAAAAAATCAGTAGCAAACGTTTTATAAATTCACTTATTTGCATAATAAAATAATTAGTTATTCACTCACACCCCCAGCACTCACTGAAGGTTTTTGATAAGCCAGGCTCTGGTCTGAGTGTTTCGTGGTCACTGATTATCGAATGTAAGGAGCAATTCATCTTTTTCTCACCTCTAGATCAGAAATTTGCACGGTTCTCATGTCCAACTGCAATATAGTGCACGGTTCAGAGAGACAGTCTTCTGGTTTCAAAATGTGGTTATACTTGGGCTTTGAAAAAAACTCCTTAACTGCTAAAGATCTAGGGGAAAAGGTCAAAGCGACTGTTGAGAGTCATTGCAAACATCTTAGGCTTCAAAACACACACGTGGGACCGCGGTGAGTGCTCTCCCTTCTGTGTCACCAGGATGCTAAGCCACTATCTGGGGCCCTGGAACCCCAGAGCAGCCCTCAGGCCTCCACAGGCCCTGGGTGCCTCCCGCTCTGAGAAGACCCAGACTCTACCCAGGCATCCAGAGACTTCCTGAGCCTGACCTGGAGGCATTAAGGAGCCTGCCAGTCACTGGGCGCTTCCCTGTGAGGTCTCATTCATGGGATCTGAGCACACGGAAACCAACGCTCACCCCTCATAACCCAGAGGACAAGGGGAGTTGCAGCGTGTCTTGCCTAGTTTTAGAATGTATTTGATTTCAAAATCTTTTGTGGATCTTCTATTAACAGTAAATGAACGCGGTATTCCTGCTGTAGGTTACTCTATAATAAACGAAAGGAACTAGAAGGGCTGAGGTGGCCTGAGTGAGTCTGAGTTTCAGGAGAAATACTTGCTCTGTTGCTACACAAATTCAACACAGAAACAGACACTAGACGCCGCATGGCCCCTGCATGTCACCGTTTGCCAACCCCCATCACTGGCTGCACTAGGCTTGTAAGTCACCGATTATTTACCACAGAAATGTTGTAAAAAATAAGCAAAGCAGTAACTTCTGAAATAGCAAATAAAAGTGAATGTTTTAATAAAGATTCCACTATATTTACACATTTATTTTTCTGATAAAAAATTACAAATTTAAAAATTGGAAACTATGGACAAGTATAAAGAAAAGCTTAAATTCCCCATATGCCTGTCTTAGCATTGTGATATACTTATTTTTATCCCCCAGACATATTTATATAAATTTATTTATGCAAGCAAACATCCATTCTGTATACACGGTTTATTCTGCCAAGCTTTACTGTCTCTTAAACCCTTTCTAAATATCATTACATATCCCTAAAAACCTATGGTTTCTTTTTTAACAGACACACAGCAGTGCTCCACCAGATGGATATACAGCAATTCAATCACGTTCCTCTGGACGGCCACTGGCTTCCAGTGCCGGGAGGAACACTCAGGTGGGAGGCTCTGGCAGTGACTGGGGTGGGCAGCCTGATGCCAACCTCTAAGGCCCTGGCAGCCACACCTCCCTGCCACTGCCAGGCAAGCCTGGGCTACTATTTTAATTTACTCTTTGCTTGTCTGGTAGGGAAAACAGCATGTATTTTAATTCGCATTTTAACTACTAACAACATTATAATTTTTCATATATTTATTGGTAATTTTATTTATTTTTTGCGGTTTGCCTGTTCACATGATTGGGCTGCAATTCCATCTGGCTAGTCATCTCTTTCTAATTGATTCCAAGACCTGACAGCACGTGATTTCTCTAATTACTTGTTTGCTTTTACAATCGTGTTTTTGCTGATTTCTGCCACATAGACTGCCAGATTCTATCTAGCCCAGGGTCCATTCCATCCATTGTTGCTGCTCATTTCTCCACCTAAGATGGTGCACACAGGCCCCCATGGATGTCTGTCGCTGACGCTGATTCCATGCAGAATTAAGTTTTCACGTATGGCGTGAGAGAACAAGGGCTAATCAACTGCTCCAGAATAATTTGCTGACTTGGCCCTCACTCCCTCCTAATCGTAATGCCACCTTTTTCACATACGAAAATTTTTGTTCCTTGCATTCTACCCTGCTCTGCCCATCTGTCTTGTTATAGCACCATACTGCTTTAATTACTCCAATGCTACAACAGATTGTCCTATCTGGGTGCACAGGTACCCTCATTTATCCAACCGTCGTATGGGATCTCCCAGGGCCTTGGCCCACCTGCAGACTGTGGACCAGGAGGCCCCACAAGACGGTGCCAGTCCCAGCTGTGGACACTTACTTCAGAGCGCTGAGGTTGAACTCGTACGCGTTGTCCCAGAAGAGCACCTTGCTACGATAATCCTTATCAGCACTGCAGGGCACAAGGTGCAACGCAGCCATGGTGGGCCAAATGACCCCGTCCTCCTTCAGCCAGGCATCCCGGGCATACAGGATGGACTCGATCATGAACTCAAACTGCATAGGAGTGAAAGACACACAGGAGACACATCACAGGCCCCGCGGCTGCACAGGCCTCTCACCACCACATTCGTAACACTAGTCTGACAGTTCTACAGTTTTAGCCTCAAGAATATTCCTGCCTAGGCCAGTGTACCATGCAAGAGAACATCTCGAGGGTTTATTTTATGCCCACACGTCACTGATGCATCTCACAGCCTGGGTTTAAGTCACATAATTTCCCATTAGAACTATGAACTGGAGCAGAGCTAAAAGCAAGGACAAATCTTCACTCTTGTCCCATCTCAGTCACGGAAGAGCTCGTAGCTACCAGATTTTGAAAGAGCCCTGAAGTGTTGCCGGGTCCCAACTGTTACATAAAATATATTTGGTCCGTAGCATTCTCAGAATTTTCACACCCTTTAAGTGGACTGAAATCACTGCTTAAGAAACCGAAAGCCACGCAGGCATGCCCTGGCCATTCACGGGTCCTTTGGTCCACCTTGCATCCCTCAGAAGGTCCCAAGTCAAGGGAAGCACATCACATCTATGACTGAGGAAGTGGGGACCCAACGCCCTCAAAGGCCAGGCTTTCTGTCTGAACCAGAACTTGCTTCAAACACAGAAAGGAGTAGAGGGAGCACCAGCGAGGTGGGGCCAAGGCCTGTGGCCCCTGCAAACCACCCAGGGAGCCTGCACTTCATCCTGTAGTTGATGAGAAACAACAGAAGTGTTTTGCTTCCTTAAATAATCTCAAGCTGCTTTTATTACAGAAGTAATACATGTTTTGTACGGAAAATGTAGAAAACTTAGAAAAGCTCAAACAAACATAAAAATCACATATTAACCCAGTACCTAGAAGGAACCACTGTTATCACTCTGCAGTTTACCTTCAAGTATTTTTCTACACACGCACACAAAAAATATATACATCTTATTTTTCAATCTTATTTTTTCAGTTATGTAGTGAAACAGCTTTTCTGGCGTACAGCCTACGAACTTGAGCGCTTGTGTGGATTTTGTCCTCACAACCACAGCCAGCATACACACAGCTCTGCCACCCAAAACACTCTTCACCCTTTTCTCTGGTGGTCATGCCCTCCCCGACCCCAGCCTCTCCAGCCACCGATCTGGTCTCCATCCCCATGGTCTTGTGTCTTTTTGAGAATATCATACAAATGGAACCAAACAGTACATAACCTTTCAAGACAAGTTTCTTTCACTCACTGTACCGTTTCTGGGGTTCCTCCAAATTACCTGTTTCAATAACTGGCTCCTCTTCACTGCTCAGTGGTATTCCACTGTGTGGACGCACCAGTTTATCCTTAAGGATTATCCAGATGAAGGACACTTGGGTTGTTTCCAGGTTTTGTTTTTTTTTTTTTTGCAATTATAAAGAGAGCTAGTATAATCATTCACATACAGGTTTTTGTGTGAACACAGCTTGCATATCTCTGGGTTGAACACACAGGAGAGGGACTCCTGGGCATAAGGTGAGTGCACATACAAGTCTATAAGAAAGCACCCACCTGTTTCCACAGTGGCATGTTCCCTCCAGCAATGCATGACTTTCAGCTGTTCCTCATCCTCGATGACAGTTGGTATTACTATCAGATTTTTTTTTTATTGTAGTCATTTTTCAATGGGTGTAAGTGATATCTCACTGTGGCTTTAATGTGCATTTCCCTGATGGCTATGCTGAACATCTTTTCATGTGTGTATTTGATATCTGTATATCCACTTTGGTAAAGTGTCTGTTCAAGTATTTTGCCCATTTTCAATTGGCTTGTTTTCTTCCTGTTGAGTTTTGAGATTTCTCTGTATATTCAGAACACACACTGGATATGTTCTTTGCAATATTTTCTCCTAATCTTAGCTTGTCTTTTTTATTCTCTTAGCATCATCCTTTTGCAGAGCAGTCATTTTTAGTTTTGATGAAATTCAATTTATCAACATTTTCTGCTATGGATCACGCTTTTAGAGTAAAAAGTCTTTGCCCAAGTCCAGGTGATGAAGATTTTCTATGATTTTTTCAAGGAGGTTTATAGTTTTACATTTCACACACTTAGATCTATGATCAATTTTAAGTTCAGCTGTGTATGAGATGTGAGGTTGAGGTGTTGTTTTTTAGATATGGATGACAACTATTCCAGTAACATTTGCTGAAAAGACTGTCTTTTCTCCATTAAATTGATTTTTGTACCTTTGTTAAAAAAAACCCATTGACCATATTTGTAGAAATCTCTCGTCTCCATTCCATTGACTTACGTGTCTGTCCCTTCACCACATTGTCCTGATTACTGTAGCTTCAAAATCAAGTAGTATAGTTCCTCCAACTTTACCCTTCTTTTAAAAAATTCTATCAGCTACTCTAGTTCTCTTAGTCCATTTTTGTGTTGCCAAAAAGGAATATCTGAGGCTGGGTAATTTATAAAGAAATGAGGTTTATTTGGCTCATGGTTCTGCTGGTTGGGAAAGTTCAGGATTGGGCATCCAGTGAGGGCTTCAGGCTATTTCCCCTCACGGTGGAAAGCAAAGGGGAGCTGGCACGTGCAGAGACCACAGGGTGGGAGCAGAGGCAAGTGGGCGTGCCAGGCTCTTTTTCACAACCAGCTCTTGTTGGGACCTGAAAGAGCTAGAACTCACTTATCTACCCACGAGGAAGGGCATTCATCTATTCATGAGGGATCCACACCCATGACCCAAACACCTCCCACTAGGCCCCACCTCCCAACACCACCACACTGAGGATCAAATTTCAACATGAGATTTGGTGGGGACAAACCATAGCACTAGTTCCTTTACATTCCATATACATTTCATAATGAGCTTATCTATAAGAACAAATCCTGCTTGGATTCTAATTGGAATTTTATTAAGTCTACAGATCAATTTAAAAAGAACATACGTCTTTACTAGGTTGAGCCTTCTTATCTCTCCATTTATTTAGGTTTTCTGGGGTTTCTTTCATTATCATCTCATCATTTTCAGCATCCAGATCACATTTTGTTAGATTTCTAAGCCTTTCATATTTTTGAAGCTACTGTGATATTCTTTAATTTCTAATTGTACATTGCTAAGATATAAAAATGACTTCTGTATGATGACCTTGCACTCTGTGATCTTGTTAAACTCACTTACTAGTTTTAGGAAATTTTCTCATAGACTCCTTAGGATTTTCTGTAGGTTTTTTTGTAGATGTCCTATGTCATGTTAAATTTCCTTCCCTTTCTAGTTTGCTGAGAATTTTATCATGAACTGATGTTGAATTTTGTCAATTTTTTTCTGTATTGATATAATCATGATTTTTCTTCTTCAGACTGTTAATATGGTAGATTACACTGATTGATTTTCAAATATTGAACCAGCCTTGCATTCCAAGGATAGTTTCTTTTTTTGTTATGGTGTATTATTATTCCTTTTATATCCTGCTGGTTTAAATTTGCTAATGTTTTCTTGAGGATTTTTACATTTATGTTCATGAGGGTTATTGGTCTGTAGGTTTCATATTTTGTGTTAACATTGGTTTTGGTATTAGGGCAATGCTTACCTCATATAATGAGTGAGGAAGTGTTCCCTCTTCTTTTCTGAAAGTTGTTTAGAACTGGAGTTTTTTCTTCATTAAATGTGTTGATAGAATTCACCAGTGAAATCATTTAGGGTAGAGATTTACCTTTCAGAAGGTTTTTAAACTATTAATTCAATATCTTTACTAGTTATTGGACCATTCAGGTTATCTATTTCATGTTAGATGAACTGTGGTAATTTGCAGTTTTCAAAAGAATTGGTCCATTTCATGGACCTTCTTTGCTTCTCACTCTATGTATGTACACTCTATGTACATACATAGAGGGAGAAGAAAGAAAATGATAACTCAAGACTGTTTCAGGAATACAGTTGTTTCTTGGTGTCTATGGGGAACTTGTTCCAGGACCCCCGTGGATATTCAAATCCTTGGATGCTAAAGTCCCCCATATAAAATAACGTGGTTTTTACATACAGGCTACACACATCCTCCGACAGACTTTAAATCATCTCTAGATTACTTCTACCTAATACAATGTCAGTGTTATGTAAGTAGCTGCTATACTGTATTGGTGTGTTATTTGTATTGATGTTTATTGTTGTATTGTTATTTTTATTTTCTGATATTTTCAATACATGTAGGTTGTATCTACAGATGTGGAGCCCACAGATACTTGACCGTACTTCAAATTCTTGTCTTCTTCACCAGTCGATTGCTACTATGTCTTTGTTCCAGAGTCCTCAAATAGTTTCTCCCTGTCTACTCTCCAGGATTTATAGCTGCATTCAGTGGGA
Source organism: Homo sapiens (assembly GCF_000001405.40). Taxonomy (NCBI): domain Eukaryota; kingdom Metazoa; phylum Chordata; class Mammalia; order Primates; family Hominidae; genus Homo; species Homo sapiens. The sequence goes on along the minus strand of NC_000021.9, from coordinate 46,654,442 downwards.
GACATGAAAGGAGTATGCCTTCTCCATCTTATCTGGAACTGAAGCTAGGTTACCACTATGTCTAATTTTTAAACACAAAATTGGAATCATACTGTACATACTCTGTACTTTTTTTAAAAACTAGCAACATGTCACCAACTTTTTCCAAAGACTGTTAAAAATCTTTCTAAAACATAATTTTTAATGATCATATGTATTGCTACAATTCTGTTGTTTCCAATTTTCTCCCCATTTTAAACGGTGCTGCCATGAACATTTTTTAACATAAATTTCTGTACAAATTTGATTATTTCCTTAGGATAATTTCATCAAAAAAATTTGGTGCCTGGTCTCTGGGTCCAGCTGCTGGGAAGGAGGACACTGCAGTCTCAGCACCCACCAGCTCCTCCTCCTTCCTCCTCCCCCGAGGTGAATGTGCCCTCAGAAGTGCAAGCTGCTGATTAACTATGCTGCATTTTTTATGACGTGAAAGTTCGGAAATGCTCCACGCCAAAAAAAAAAAAAAACAAGAAAAGAAAAAAGGCTGTCATTTTTTGTCCCAGTGCAGACAAAGTGCATTGTTGTAGAAGGAGGTGAAGAGACCTTGGTTGGAGATGTCTAAGTGTAGCCATAAGCGGTCCTTCAAGCATGTGGTGGCAATGTTTCCTGAAAAAGATGTCTCTGTACTTTGTATGAGGCAAGCTTTAAAACCAAGGAATCCAGAAGAGTTGATGGTTTTGTGTGTGTGCGTGTGGGCACCAGAACTAGCACCTCTGAAAAGTAAAATGATCTACATGAGCTCCAGGGAATGCAACCAAAAAGAAATATCAAGGCATAAAACATGAACATCAAGCAAAGGGGCCAGAAGTCCTCCCTTAGGCCTGTCCCACTGGGAAGCCAGGCGGCCTTGGTTGTGGCCTCTGCAGGGTGCCCTGTGTAGATCGTCCTTCAGTGCCACAAACTGAAAGTGCCCGTGTTTACGCTTATCCTCTTGTTGTGTAAATAAAGCAAATACATTTAGGCCAGAGTCTTGCTGAGGGGGAGCTGTCCCATCATCTACACCACACATTCTATAAATATGTGCAAACAGCCTTAAATACATCCGAAGTCTGAAGTGTTATTGGTATGAAATTAAATTCTTACTGGCCACGTGCCTGTTTTCATGAGCTGACTTATAAAGACTTTCGTTAAGCTCAGGATTTGTGATAATACAGTCAATAAAACAGTACAAGGCTGTGTGAAGAGAATTATTACATCTTTGTTAACCTCAGCAGTTACTTTGTTTCTTTTGCTTAGAAAATTCGTCATAATGTGGTTGTAATTTTGGTCCAAATTCTTTATTCTTCCTTGAGCTAAAGAGAATAACGGAATATAATATGTCCTCATCACATATTGACAGCACGAATACACTAACAACAGTAAGACTGAGTCTGGCAGTCTTTTAATTCTACCAAATGTGCAATGGAGATCCTCAGTGACCTTGCAAAGCGTCCTGAAAGGTCCAGGAGGCAGCCCCTGCACCTGCAGTGCCACTGGCTAGTGGGAGACTGCTGAGTGTGCAACCTGCTTCTCGGAAATCGTGGCGTGGCCTCAGGAGAACAAGCAAGATCCTGTAACAACTAATGATAACGCAAATTAGGGCTCAATTGTCACCTGCTTTGTTAACAAAAATGATTAAATGGTCTGTTGACAATCTAGGACACCTGTGGTATCTTTACTTGCGTCTCCTTCAGAACTTTGCTGCTTCTGGAAAAACAAAAAAATTTTAATGCTCTTTGACTTATTCTGCCCTATTTTCCTTCAAAAGGCTTTACCAATTTACACTGCCAAAAAAAGGGCATGGCGGTGCACACTTCCCCACAACCTCAGCATCGGGAGCATCAGATATTAGAGGATTGCTCAGCCAACTTCCCAGGTCAAAACTATTACAGTTACTTTCAAATTGTTGGTGGCATTGAACAACGTTCAAGCTCCTGGCCTCTGGCATTTCTCTGCCTTTCTAGTCCCTGCTCACCTTCCATGAGGTTACCTTTATCTTATGCTTTTCTTATTGCAACTCTTTACGTCACACAATTCTTTAGCTGCAATTCTTTAGTTGCATTTACCATTTAATAGTTTTTAGCTGTGCTAATGTATGAAGGGGAATTTTTTGTCAAGTATTTTATTTGACAGCTTCATTATGAACTTGGTTCTTAGAAAAACCTTTCCCATCCTAACAACAAATAAACTTGTAGCAATTTTTTTGTTTCCTCCTTTTCTTAAATATTTAACTCTTGAGCCCATCTGAGGTTTATTTTAGCAGATGGTGTGAAGAAGGGCCTCTTTTCTCCAAATCAGTCGTTCCAGCACCATCTCTGAACAACTACATGCCCTTGCTGCACTGACTGAAAGCTGCCCCTCCTATGCTAAACGCACATGCACTCTTCTCTGTCTTCAGACTTTTACTACATGTCAGCGTCAGAGTAGGAAGATGGGCCAGGAGAGATGAAGGCCTGAGGGCTGAGGGGCTCTGAGAACAGGCAGACAGCAGGCAAGGAGGACATGAAGAGGGACAGACGCACAGGTGCAGGGGAGAGGCAGACAGCAGGCCAGGAGGACGTGAAGAGGGCCAGACGCACAGGTGCAGGGGAGAATGCGGCAGCTCAGGAGAGGCGCAGCCTGGGGACGGAAAGTGAAGGTGGGTACAACCGCACCAACGACTCCCAGATTCATACCCTCCCTCCCTCAAATCCGACCAACCCTGTGCCCCAACAACTATCGCCATAGGAACTCTTGCAGCCCCGTCTGCCCTGTTCTGGGCCTCCTTGGCCTGAGTAATGATGGTGGTGGTCCCTCAGTCTCCCTGGGGGGGAGTCTGAAGTCGGAACTGCCTCAAGCCCTCACCTGCAAAGCTCCGCCTTCCCCCTCCACTGCCTGCACTGGAGAAAACCACCACATGGTCCTGTCTGACTCACCCCAGCACTCCTCCAAATGTCCTGCTCAGGGTGGCCCCTCCAGGCCATCGCCCACCGAGACCCCAGGCCATGTCCCCACTGCCCAACCAATAGCTGGCCCTGCACATCGGATGGGCATCCTATGTTCAAGACCCACACAGATGTCCACCCTCCCCAGGGCCCTCCCTACCCCGGCCCCCAGCCAGTCCTGGTGGCCCACTCCCTGCGGCTCAGGGCTGGGAGGCACCGTCCTGCTCACGCCAGGCCCCCATCAGCACATCCTGCCTGCTGGCCCTGCTCTGCATCCCCCACACCTGCCCCATGCCAAGCCCTGGCTCCTGCATCCTGACAATAAAGCCATGGTCAGTCCTGGAAGTCTGTGCACCTCCCACACAGAGGGGCCTCCCCTCACACAGAATGTCCCAGGCCTCTCTGCATGCTGGGGCTGGACCACAGCCAGTCCCTGGCCTCCAGTCCCGGCCACACATACCCAGGGGCCTCCAAAACACAGCCCACCTCTTACTCCATCACTCACACACCAGTGGCACTCCCTTCGGTGTCCAGGACGTGGCACAAAGTCCTCAGACACACAGTTCCCTACATCTGGCCTCTGCCTCCCTGATGCAACACAGTCTGGCCAATCCGGCCACTGGGCAGCCCTGGAACACGGCAACACGGTGAACACAGTGGCTACTCCTCTCCCCTCCCTCTGCCCCACGTCCCTCCTGTGTCCCTCTCACCCAATCCAGGGCACAGCCGGACACTCCAGCAGCCAGGCTTCCCCGTATCACCGCCCACACAACCTTGGCCTCACCACAGCCTCACTCCTGCTCTGTCCTCTTTTTGTCCCCGTGGCCGGGGCACCAGCTGTCAACAGATACTTATTGAATGGGCGCTGCTGTTCAGGGCAAAGGCAAATGCCCCTTCAGGGGGTAGGAGTGGAGCCCGTTTCTCCTGTGTGTCATCTTATGGCTCCACAGATGTTATTAATAAGCCAAGTCACAGCATGGACATTGAGTCTATTTACATTTATCTTCTGACAACAAAATTTCAACAGGACTAAAAGCCCAATGCCATCTGTTACCAGGGGAAACCGTTTCCTGGAAAGCAGCAGCCATACTCCACACTCCTTCACCCAGACCCCATCTTTCTGGGTCTCTACACTGAGACAAAGTTTCAGGTTGGGATGCTCCACTACAATGTCCTGTGTCCCAGGATGCTGAGCCCAGGAAGACAGCGCGGGCAGACAGCATCCAGCCACACTCCCGTCAACTTCCCTCCAAGCAGACAGCGTTTGTGCAGGGCATATTCACAGGCAACCAGAAAACAGTCCACTTCCACCCACATGTGAAACTCAGGGTGAGCAACCCTGACAGGACAGGCATATGCTGGCCCTACAGATGCCCAAGTGGCTTCACAGCATCACTGGGGCCAGTCTAAGGCGAGGAGACCCTGGCCAGGGACGAAGGCCCTACTGGCATTAAAGAAACAGCCTTACCTGTTAGGCACAGGATTTTTACAGATCCCCGAGGAGAACACAGTTCATGTAAATCACTCATGAAAATGTTACATGAACTTTGACTTAAATTTCTCATAAAGGCATTTTTTAAATCAGGTGAAAATTCAAGACACTGAGCCAATGTCCACACAAGAAATTAATTAGACCTCACATTAGGGAAAACATCAAAATGAATCACGCACGACCCTTGAGATCCTGAGGTTGGCCCAGCCGAGCCCGTGCTCAGAAGCCCCCCAGCTCCGGCCCCCAGCTGCCCGCACGCCCGCCCTCACCAGCAGGCAGGTCCCCATCCACTCAGACACCAGCACGTCCACCTTCTCGGGCAGCACCACATCCTCCACCTTCTGCTGGTACACGGTGATGATGTCAGCAAAGCCGTTCTGCAGGACCAGCTGCCCCGTGTGCTGTGCCATCTCACTGGCCTCCACCGCGTACACCTGCAGCAGCAGAGGCACCGTCAGCGTACATCCGGCCGGCACACGGCCCGTCATCTACTCTCCTGAGTCACAACCAGCATCACGAGAAATGGTCAATGACACAAGAGGGAAGCAGCATTCCAGACAGCAGAGGCAGCGAGGACTGGCCACACCTGCCCCTCCAGGGGCACCCAGAAAGGAGCCGCCTCTAACCCTCCCAACTGCCCCCACCTCCCGGACAAGACACAGACGCAGGGCTGCAAGTGGATGGAAGACTCGCATGCCCGAGCCGGCTGCCACACGCACAGCAATCTTAATCCATGACCAGCACAGCAACTTCTTAGCACCCAAGTGACAATGCTGGTCTGTGCCACATCTGAGGCCTGTCAGACAATTTCAAACCCAGGTTCTCAGGGAAGGGTCTGGTGGGAAGCACCCAAGCGCTGGGTCCTGGGTCCTGCAGAGCCTGGACTTGGGTGGACACTGTGCTGCGACCCCACCCACTGTGTAAGGAGTCTCCAAGGCTGCAGCTCGGCTCAGCTCAGCACAGTATAGACGGCCTAAGAGGGGTGGGGAGGGGGCCCAGCGTGTGCATCCCTCCCAACCCCATGAGACCAACCACACCCAAGGCCCAGCACAGACATGTGGGTGCACGTGTTTCTCTACTCAACTGAAATAAACGTCTCACAGAACATACCCCGCCCCACGCAATTCACGGGATATTGTCTATTCTGCCCTACTCCCGTCTGTGCTGTCTGCGACTCATTGTACGCGGGCGCCACGGCCTCTAGCACGCGGTCTCCACGCACTGCTATTTTACCGACCCTGAGCCCCACGTGCAGGGTGCTCAACAAGACCATGGAGTCACCGGTGAGCCCCCAACAGCTCAGGGTCACAAGTCAGCACACTCAGAGGCCACCTCGGACGTCACCAGCCTCGGCACAAACACCCGGGATGCGCTCGAGACCCCACTCACCGCTCTAGGCCGCGCATAGTGTGCACAGAAGAGACTGATGATCCCAGTCCCACAGCCCACGTCCAGGATGACTTTATCCGTCAGGGATTCTTTATTCTGCAGGATGACACTGTGGTATTTAGTTGTTCGTGGCTGGTCTGCCAACATCTCCAAGTGGAGTTTCTGGAAGAAATGCACATTCAGAATCACTGCCTGTGACCTAGAGCCATGCTGAGGTCTGGACTGAGATGGAGGGTCAGAGCCACAGCTGATGACCCCTGACCCCAACACCCCTATGGAAGACTATGGAAGGCCTGGACATCACTGTCAACCAAGTTAATCTCATTGGTATTTAGAGAACACTTCACCCACCCCCTTATAACAGTAATAATACACAAAAAATACCTAGGAACAAATTTAACAAGAAAGGTGCACAACCATGTATGACAAAGAGATATTGTCCTTATCTTAAAATACTAAGAGATATTAAACAAAGCTTAAGTAATCAGAGACTGAGAGTCAATGTTATAAAGATGTCAGCTCTCCCAAAATTAACATAAACATTCCATGCAGTACCTACTAAAGGAGAAAGCACAACAAAATGATAATAAAATTAGTTTCAAAACAGTAAGTGCCCAAGGCTAATGAGGAAAATGCTTTAAAAAAAAAAGAACTGCTGGAGACCTAGCTCTTGCAGATCCTACAAAGGTGCAGTGATGGAAATGACGAAGCACTGGGAACTGCAGTAAACAGACCAGTGAAACAACAGGAATTCTACAGCAGACCCCTGAAATCCAGAGCAGGACAAACGCACCGTTTCACATCAACGCGAAGGGAACTGTCCAGTAACTGAGGCTGGGGTCGCTGGAGATTTGTGGGCATACATTAGGGCGGAATTTTACATTATATTTTTTACAACAAATAATTTCTAGATTTTTTATTATTTAAAATCTCATTGTTTAAAATAGAATCAGAAGGCCAGGCAGGGTGCCTCACCCCTGTAATCCCAGTACTTTGGGAAGCTAAGGTGAAGGTCCCTTAAACCCAGGAGTTTGAGGATACAGTGCACTATGACTGCACCACCGCACTCCAGCCACTCATACGACAGAGTGTGACACCATCTCTAAAAAACATAAAAAACAAAAATAAAATAACACAGAATCATAACAGTTCTGAAAACAAAAGTGTGGGTATTTATAATCTTATAGTGAGGAAGGTTTTTCACAAAGAAAAGAAAAAGAAGTCACAAAGAAAAGAAAACCATATTAGGCTATACAAAGAAAAAAGTTGTACGTGGGAAAAAATTTCACAAAGTCACAAAACTTCACAAATTCAGGCTAAATTACTTAACACACGAATCAACAAAAATCAAAAGGGGCAAATAATATGAAAGTTTACAAAAAAAGAAAAAATACAAAAGGCCCATAAACACATAAAAGATAATCAATCTTACTTAAAAAATGGAAATCAAAACTAAAAGATGCCATATTTAACTTTTAAGATCAAAGTCCTTTTTCACTTTGATTTGTGGTAGGGAAATGAGCTTTCACACACCATCATGCCACGGTCTGAAATGTCTCCAAAAATCCATGTACTGAAACTTAATCGTCAGTGTGATGGCATTAAGAGGCCACCTTTGGAGGTTACTATGAAAGGGTTTGTGGTGAAAGAGGTGCTCCCAGCCCTCCCGCCTTCACCACGTGAGGACAGCCATGAGGCGCCATCTTGGACACCAATGCCAATGCCTTCCCAGCCTCCAGAACTGCGAGAAACAAAGCTTTGTTCTTCATAATTCACTCAGTCTAAGGTATTTTGTTACAGCAGCACAAACAGACCAAGTGTATAATTAGCAAATCTTTCTGGAGGGCGAACTGGCAAGATCCACTTAAGGAAACCACATGTACACACTACACACACACACCCCGTAGGAATTTACCCTATAGAAATTCTAAACAGCATTTAACAGGATTATACAGGACTCCATTACAGCATTATTTATCATGATAAAAAGCTATTAAATAACCACTGTCCAAATATCAACAGGACCCTTTTAAAGTAACACAACGCTCTGCAGCTGTTATAAAGAGTGACAGGTGCCAATATGAGAGATCTTCAAAATACTACAGCTACGTGAAAAGAGCAAGGTGAAGACCTGAGTGGTGGAACAATGCCTTTTCTATACATTAAAAACGTAAAATACATTAGGTGTCACTTGGACTTCATAAGCACAGAGGAATCTGGTGGGCAGTGGTTCTTTGAGCTGAGAGGCGGCAGAGGTGGGAGGCTGGAATTGGCTTTTCATTATGTATCTTTCCTTAACGGATAGAAATCACTAACCATGTACAGACATGAATAGTTTTTAACACTTTTAATTGTGAAATATGGCATACCTGCGAAAAAGTGCAATAAAAAGTATCTGCAGAGTTAGTCAAGTATTGTTATATAGCAAACACCTCTATACCTATATCCAACCCCAGAACACTGCCAGCATGTCAGAACTCCTGACTCAGCCACGCTGGTCCCAGAGCCTCCCCTACCAGCAGGTAACCTCCATTCAACCAACAGGGGAGCCACTCCTGCCCTCAGTCAGTCTCAGCACCCATGCACACTCACAAACAGTACCTTCCGGCCGGGCGCAATGGTTCATGCCTGTAATCCCAGCCCTTTGGGAGGCTGAGACAGGAGGATCACTTGAGGCCAGGAGTTCAAGACCAGTCTGGCCAACATGGCAAAACCCCCTCATTAAAAATACAAAAATTAGCCAGGCATGGTGGCACGCACCTGTAGTCCCAGGTACACAGGAGGCTGTGGCAGGAGAATTGCTTGAACCCGGGAGGCAGAGGCTGCAGTGAACTAGGATCCTGCCACCACACTCCAGTCTGGGTGACAGAGCAAGACTACGTCTCAAAAAAAAAAAAACAAAAACAAACAAAAAACCTTCTAATATGGCCTCTTAACTTTATATAATTGAGTCAAACGTTATAGATTCTTTGCCCTATTCCTTCTTTCAACTAACATCATTTTTATAACATTCATCCTGCAAGTAACTGTTTTCATCTAGTTTTAAAATGTAACCAGAGATTGTTGCCTGGACCATCGGGTTATAGGCATTTCTCCATGGTGGGGAAAAAATTTCGGTAAGCTATTTAGAAGCTGGGCTTTTATTATTTTTTTAGGGACAGAGTCTGGTTCAATCACCCAGGCTGGAGTGCAGTAGCGCAATCATAGCTCACCACAGACTTGAACTCCTGGCTTCAAGTGATGCTCTGACCTCAGCTTCCCAAAGTCCTGTGATTACAGGCATGAGCCACCACACCTGACCTAAGTAGTATTATTCATAGATTTATAGAATTTTTTCTATTTTTTTTTTTTTTGAGACAGGCTCTCGCTCTGTAGCCCAGGCTGAAGTGCAACAGCGCCATCATGGCTCACTGCAGCCTTGGCCTCCAAGGCTTGAGCAATCCTCCCACTTCAGCCTCTCGAGTAGCTGGGACTACAGGCGTGCACCACCATGCCCAGCTAATTATATTTTTTTTTAATTTTTTTTTTGTAGAGACGAATTATATTTTTTATTTTTTCTCACTATGTTGTCAGGCTGGTCTTGAACACTTGGTCTCAAGCCAAGTGTCCTCTTGCCTTGGCCTCCCAAAGTGTAGGGATTACAGGTGTCAGCCACCACACTCAGCCTAATTTCATTTTTAAAGTAAAATTTACTGCTTTTTTTTTAAATACTGAGGGAGCACGCACATAATCTCATTGCTCAAATCATATCTCTAAGCCAGGGGTCGGCAAACTAAGCCATGGGCCAAATCTAGCCCACCACCTGTTTTTGGATGGCCTCCAAACTAACAGTGGGTTTTACATTTTTAAATGATTTTTTTAAATCAAAAGAAAATACTTTGTGACACATGAAAACTGTACAGTATAAATTCAAATTTCAAGATCCATAAATAAAGTTTTATTGGAACACAACAGTGCACACTTTGTGTGTCATCCACAGTGGCTTCCACACAACCATGTCAGAGCTGAGTGGCTACAACAGAGGAGCTCTGGCCTGTAAGACTATGGGCCTGCTCTGAACGTTGCAGTAGAACTAAAGCTAGAGAGAACCCACCGCCTGGCCAGCTGAACAGGGAATTTAGAAAGCAATACCAGAGTTCCATAGCTGCCGAAGTACTCTTCATCCTGCCACGTGTCCTCGGGGTCGTACTCATCCACGTGCTTCCCCACATGGTTTGCCGGAATGTACCCACAGCAGCCCGCACGCTCACCCCACCACCAATCTGCAGTGGTTTGTCTCAGGATAAGAATTTTTTCTCCTCTCAAAAAACTGAGCTGGAAAAAAAAAAGTTAAAATTCAATAAGAAAACCAGTCATTGGTATTTCAAATGTGGCTCAGTGATAAATCCCATCAATGGTGACAAAATCACAGAGATTTCAAACAGGAGTCAGTGGGTAATGACAGCAACTGAGAATGTTTGCAAGTGACACCATGACTTAGCGATGCCTCTGGAACATCTACCTGAAAGGAGGGCACAGCTTAACAGATATTTTTTAAAAGAAGGAGTAAACATTTTCAAATGGCTTAGGAGAGAATTTCTCAACAGCCTCTTCATTGTAACTCAACTATGCCAACTGAGTTACTGGAGGCTGACTCTAAGAAATTCCTGTCACAAAGTAAACAAAGCTATGTCCAAGCAGATATAGCTTGATATATTTGGTAGCCTTACTTTTCATTAACTGGGTGGGTTCTACATTCCAAGTAGAAACCAGAACAGGTGCTTCTGCCCCTGGCTGAGGGTCCCCACTCCATGCCTCGTATCTTTACATCATGCTTGAGGCAGAACTGGCTGGGCTGTGAGCTTCACACACAGGTCTTGTGTGGCCCTACGCATCTGAATACCTCTTCATTTAACTTTGGTGTGACGTCTGCAAAATTTATCTCCTTTTGACACTGAACATGCTGAAAGCCATAAAGCATTAACCACCACGTGTGGCTACCTGGGTCTCATCGGTGGCAGCGTAGTCCGCGATGGCCACAAACTCCTCTGGCTGTACTCCCTCCTGCAGGAGACCGGCCTCACTGCACTCAGCAGGCTCTTCTCCCTGCTCAAAGCCAAGGAAAGCGTGAGGAGAGGACGCTGGAGCTTTTTTTTTTTTTTTTTGGCTATATTATTAGGATGGTTTCAAATTTCAAATACAGATTCATGTGTCCAAGTATTTATTATACAAACTATTTGGATCATCTTTACTACTATAATCAAAGGCTGTCACCTTCACTCTACATTTCTTTTCTAAAAAAAAAAATTATCTGGACCCTAAAAGAGAACATCAAAGCAAGAAGTCAGAAACAGGCACCACTAGTGTCTATTTGGTGAGGAGCCCTTGTCCTTCATCAGCTTTGCTTCCTGAAGGTGATCATCAACCCCATGAAGAGAAACCAGTGTGAGGACAGAGCCAGGGGCCCAGCGCCCCAGGCAGGCACAGCCAGGGGCCTGTGGAAAGAGCTGATGGCATGGCACAAACCTCCACGAGGCAGCAGAGCCCAGCTTGGACCCACACAGGTCCTTGGAGCCTCCCCCAACCCCTCCATTTTTTTTTTTTTTTTTTTTTTGAGACAGAGTCTTGCTCTGTTGCCCAGGCTGGAGGGCAATGGCATGATCTCGGCTCAGGGCAACCTCTGCCGCCTCCCAGGTTCAAGTGATTCTGATGCCTCAGCCTCCCAAGTAGCTGGGACAACAGGTGTGCACCACTACACCCAGCTAATTTTTTGTATTTTTAGTAGAGATGGGGTTTCACCATGTTGCCCAGGTTGGCCTCGAAATCCTCAGCTCAGGCAATCCACCTGCCTCATCCTCCCAAAGTGCTAGGACTACAGGCATGAGCCACCATGCCTGGCCGTTCACTTTATATAAGAATAAGCTTGCCTGGAAGACATCACTGCAGGGGGCAGAACCTCAGATCACACACTCCAGTTCAATGAATCAACCTTGTCTCAATACATACATTTTAAACACATTTTCCTAAACATAAAAGTAATTCGTGTTTACTTTAGAAAATGTGTGAAAACACCAAGTACACAGAAGAAAATTAAAACCTCCTGTAATTTTGCTCACTGATCACAGATAATAACAGACAGCACATTGGTGTTTATACTTTCAGACTTTTAAAAAAGTGGACACGTAACATAAGTACAAAGCATTCACTGGGTTCACACAATAAGCCTGTGGCCTATGGTTTTCACTTTATAAACTCTGAACATTTTTCTTATTAAATATACTTCTAACACTATTTAATATCCAGTCTATGAATTATCAGGACTTACCTATCCAGTTTCCTAGTCTTGTACATTTAGACTTTTCAGTTTTTACTATTCTAAATCATGTTAAGATGAACTTCTTTCAACATAAATCATTCTGTATGTACCTTAATCTTCTTAGGGTAAGTCTCTGAATGTGAACCTGATGGACTGAGACTATGTGGCTTTTGGTTTTACCACCCAGTGCTCTCCAGAAAGGTGTTCCCTGGACCGCTTGCTGAGAGGGAACCACCAATCTTCCCACACTCTCACTCAATAGATACCAATCACTTTAGTCTCTGTCAATTTCATGGGTAAAAATCACTGTTGTTACTTCCATTTCCCTCTCTTTGTGTGGTTAGGCGTTTTTAAAATACTTGCTGGCATCTTTTTTTACCTTACTGTCTATTTGTACCCTTCGTGCTTTTCCCTATGCCAGGAGCATGACTCACTCTAAGGCAGCACTGCCCTCTGCTTGCTCTCCACCCCATCCCCGATCCACCCAGCCCAGGCAACCCTTACTAACCCCCCGGTGTGCGGCCTTCCACACCTCCACCATGCCCATGTCACACACAAAGCCCTGTGTACACGTATACACACACACACACACACACACACACACAGGCTGTTTCTTTGTTTGGCTTTTTTTTTAGGATGGAGTCTCGCTCTGTCGCCTAGGCTGGAGTGCAGTGGCACAATCTCGGCTCACTGCAACCTCCACCTCCCCAGTTCAAGCAATTCGCATGCCTCAGCCTCCCGAGAGGCTGGGACTACAGGCGTGTGTCACTACGCCCGGCTAATTTTTGCATTTTTGGTAGAAATGGATGGGGTTTCATCATGTTGGCCAGGCTGGTCTCGAACTCCCCACTTCAAGTGATCTGCCCACCTGAGCTTCCCAAAGTGCTGGCATCACAGGCGTGGGCCACCACGCCTGACCTGCACTTTGCTTTTCTTACACAATACCTTCTGGAAAAACTCTCCAACTGTTAGAACCCTGATTTACTACCTTCAATGGCTATACGATATTCCATAGCAGGAATTCCGCTTGATTCTTCAGCCATCCCCCTTTGATAGACTTTGTCTTGGTATCCAGTTTTCTACCACCATAACCGATGCTGCAATAAAAGAAGTCTGTGCACAGACAAGCTTATGTGATGACATTTTATTTCTGCAGGATAGAATGCCAGGGTTGAAGAATACGCTTTTTTTTTTTTTTTTTGAGATGAGGTCACCCTCTGTCACCCAGGCTAGAGTGCAGTGGCATGATCCTGGCTCATGGCAACCTCCACCTCCCAAGCTAAAGCAATCCTCCTACCTCAGCCTCTCAAGTAGCTGGGACTACTCTTGGTACAATATAGATACTATTTCACATCTCAAGAAATTGTTTTACAAACATATTGTTTTCCCAGTTATCTTGTTTATGATCAGCGCCTCAAGAGTCAGGTCAACAGAAATTTTCCAAACTGAAGCACAAAATGAAAAAAAAAATAAGAATAGAGCATGAGACATGTCAAACAGCAGCAAAAATTCTAACTTATGTTTACATGGAGACCCCAAAAAAGAAGACAGAAGATGAGGCAGAAAAAAATAAATGAAGAGATAATGGTGGAGATTTTTCCAAAATTAAAAAAAAAAAACCATCAAGGCCAAGGTGGGCAGATCACCTGAGATCAGAAGTTTGAGACCAGCCTGGCCAAGATGGTGAAACCCCGTCTCTACTAAAAATACAAAAAATTAGCCGGGCGTGGTGGTGGTCACCTGTAGTCCCAGCTACTCGGGAGGCTGAGGCAGGAGAATGGTGTGAACCCAGGAGGCGGAGCTTGCAGTGAGCCGAGATCGCATCACTGCACTCCAGCCTGGGCGACAGAGCGAGACTCCGTCTCAAAAAAAAAAAAAAAAAAAAATGTAGGCAAAACACATTTCATAGTTTGACACAGCAGACTCACACTAGTAAATATAAACATAAAGTTGTCAGGTTGAAGGGAAATGATCCTACATGAAAACACAGAATGCAAGAAAAAGGGAAAGACCTCAAAAAAGGCAAATAATATGTGGGGAAACATAAAAAAGACTATTTATTTTACTTCATAAAAAAAGACTCGATAGCGTAAAGCAATAATGATAATTTATTGTGGCGTTTACAACATATGTAAAATTAAAATGTTACATCAACAGTACAAAAATATGGACGCTGGTAAATGAAACTAACTTCTAAGATCTTTACCTTATGAAGTAGTTAAAAAAAAGACTGAAATTGAATTAGGATGCATACTGCAATTTCTTGGGAAAACACTAAAACAATATAAAAAGATACAGCTAACAAGCTATTAAAGGAGGTAATATGGAATTATAGAAAATCCTTTATTTATCCACAAGAGGGCAGGAATGGAGACATGCAGGAAAAAGAAATGTGACAAACATAAAACAAACAGCAAAATGTTACACTTCATCACATTCGTCATAACATGAAGTGTTAATAGACTAAATACTCCAATTAAGAGGCAGAAATTGTGTTTAACAGAGAAACAAAAAAACAGACCTAAGAGCTAGACCCAACTAGCTCTTTACGAGAAAAACGCTTTAAATATAAGGACTTAAGTTGAGGGAAAAAAAATACACACACACACACACACAAACACACACACACACACACTTTATGTAAGCACTAATGATAAAAAAAAAAAGCTGGTACAGCTATATTAGCATTAAAAAAAAGGTACACGCAAGAAAAGAAGTATTTATTAACAGGTAAAAAGACAGATGTTTTATAAAAAATAAGGTCAATTAATCTAGAAAACAAAACCTATACTAAATATATACACCCAATAACAGGGACTCAAAATATACAAAGCAAAAAGTGATAGAACCAAAAGGAAAAATAGATATATCTACAATCATAGTGGAGAATTTTTAGTAACTGATAGAAGATGGCAAAAAAAATCAGAAAAGATATAGAGATTTCAACAATACTAATAACACATTTGATCTTCATGACATTTATAGAATGCTACACTCAACAACTGCAGAATACATAGTCTTTGCAAGTACTCATGGAACACTCACCAACATATTCCATATGATTAGAACATAAAGCAAGCCTGAATAAATTTCAAAAGACTGAAATTATAGAGGATGTTATGTTCTCTAACCAATGTAATCAAAGCAAAATTAAATAAGAAAAAGTAAAATTTCCAATATGTTTAGAAATTGGTCAACATACTTTCAAATAGCCCAGAAAACTTCTAATTTCCATTGAATATATTAGAAAATATTTTGAAGAATGAAAATGCATTTAAATATGTGAGGTACAGCTACAGCAGTGATTAGAGGAAAGTCATAGCTTTAAAGACTATTAAAGAAAGGTTTAAAATCAATTATCTAAGCTTCCCTCTCAGATGTTATAAAAATTAACCCAAATACAACAGAATGAAATAAAGACAAAAGCAGAAATCAATGAAATAGAAAAACAGAGAAATCAACACAGATAAAATTGGTTCTTTATAAAAATAAAATTGATAAAACCCTAAGAAAAGATTGATCAAGTGTGAAAAAAAGAGATAAAACACAAATTACCATTATAAGACATCTCTTCTATAATGGAGGGTGGTATTAACAGGATGAACACAAGTATTACTGAAATACTACCATGACCAGTCAGCAAAATTGAAATAACAAAATACCATTTCTAACCCATGAGACTGACCAAAACTTAAAAGTCTGATACTGTCAAGTGTTAGTAAGCACTATTGTGGGCTACTGACAGACCTGTGAACTCGTAAAGTCATTGTGGGGAACAACTGATCATTATCCAGTAAAACTGAAACTTGCAATCCCTTGCACCCTGCAATGCCATTACTGGAGCACAGAGGCATGGAGACGGATGGTCACTACAGCATTGTTTGAAATAGAAAAAACTAGAAACAATTTAAGTGTCCAACAAAAAGGGAATAAGTAAAATGGGGTATATGCCTACTGTGTAGCAGTGAGACTGCAACAGGCCCATACACATATCTACAAATAGGATACTTTACACTTTCAGAGAAGGAACACACTACAGGAGTACCCTACAGTGGCAGGATTGAACCAGCATTACACACATAACAAGGACAACTTCCCCAAAGGTAAAGTTATATGAAGAGGCAAGCTACAGGTGACACTGACAGTATGACACCACTATGGAAACTCTAAAAAGCCCACACAAACAATATCATATGTCATTCAAGTATATCTATATAAGCCATAGAGGTATAAAAATGGTGCAGTGGCACAAAACAGACTCATGATTCACAGTAGTGTTTGCCTCTAGAGAGAGAAGAGGAGGAATAGGACTGAGACTGGGGAACAAACTTTATCTAGAGTGTCGCTTTTTCTTTTTTAAGAGATGAAGTCTCAGTTTATTGGCCGTGCTGGAATGCAGTGGCTATTCACAGGCACAATCATAATACACCACATCCTCAAACTCCCGGCCCCAAGTGATTCTCCTGCTTCAGCCTCCTGAGTAGCTGAACTACAGACACACCCGACAGTATTTTTTACATATACATATATATATACACACACACACACACATATATGTATATACACACACATATATATAGCTTAATGTACACTGTTTAATGTACTTGATGTTTACAATATCATTCTGGAAATGTCCTAATATTTGTTAAATTTCTCAAAAGAAAAATAAGATGTCCACGGAATTAAAACATTTTATGAATAATTAAAGAAATTAACGAAAGATTCTGACTATAAATAAAATTCCTATATATAAAAAGCCAAATGAAAGCTCATTGGAATGAAAGAGAAAAAAAGAAAACATTAAAATTGACATAACAGATACGGAAATGCTTGATTTTTAAAAACAGTATCTATTATTCAGTTGGTGACTTTTACATAATCAACAGTCTTTACAATTTGAGGGGTATTTTTTACTGCTAACTTGAACGAAACTACATGAGTACCCCAGGCAGAAACAGTATGAATACATAAATCTTTTCTAATGTGTCCAACTTGCCTTCAATATATTGCTGGTATTATGCCTGAAATTTTATTGAACAGCTCAGAAAATATGCTTGCTTTGCCAGTTCACGTACCAAAAATGGAACCCTAAATGATGCTGATGTTTTGGGGCTAAGTATTTCCTTAGAATTGTTATGGTGCCCAATGCAGGATGTCACCTTACAGGCACTGCGTTTCCTCTGCCTCACAATCTTCACATTTAAGCATTCTACTGCCGGTGGCCACCTTCCAAGGCACAAGCCAAGCTCCATCACATCTGTGAGCTGACGCTTAGCTCTCTGTAATGCTCACATTCATTAAACACAGATTTTTAGGAAGTGGAACGGAAATTACCTGCGATTCACTTCTGGGACAGTCACCTGATGTTGCCATAGTTCTCTTAGGCTCTGCCTCATAACTGCTGATTTATTTCATTTTCTTTTCCATTTCTACTTTTAAAAAGAGAAGGAGACACAAAGTACTTGTTACATTGCTTAATAATTGAGTTCACTTAACTTCTAATGTGCATGATGTCCTCTACCAAATAGAAGTAAAATGTGTATGTGTGAAGATTAGTGTAGAAATGAAAATTTACAATACTTTACAGAGACAAAAGCATTTAAAAATCATAAACTTCAAATAGTGTGTTTTCTTCACTAGTCTGCAAGGTGTTAATCTTGTTCATTTGCTGAAGCCTGTTAGTTTCTGTTAGATCAGGTGTCGACTTAAGGCAATAAATCAGTATTCATTAATTTCTTAGAAGTGTGATAGCTTTAATTCCAATTAAAAGTCCCTACCTGGGACCTTACAGTGTTTCCACTAACAGGAACCAAGGTCTGCATCTTCCAGTCTTTTCCTTCTTCTCAATTCGTATTTTTCCAGTGATAGTGTAATCCACACACTGCTCTGGGATCAATGTGTTTTTAAAATTGCATAGCAATTCTTTGTTTAAAATGCATGCTTCACTTCTAAATCCAGACTTGAAGCTTATTTTTGTGATATTCGTAGTTACAAATGCTTACTGATTTGCATAATTATATTTTCATTGGAAGACCTGGGTCCAAACTGGGACGGGGTCGGAGTGGAGGCCGCAGTGCGCGCAGGACCCTGCCCTCCTAAGATGCCCTCGGGAGGAACAGGATCATGGAGGGTTGGAACAGGTGGCCAGTGAAGGGGGGTGAGAAGGGGGCAGGAAGCGAGAGGGCCACGCGTGGACGCAGGGGCACGAGAGGGTCAGGCTGGGACAGCGCCGCGAGCTTCGGGGCAGGGGCCGCCAGGCAGGTGGGCGTGGCCGCGAAGGGCGTGACAGAGATGGTGGTGGGGTGGGCGTGGCCGTAGAAGGCGCTGGACGGCGGGAGTGGCCGGGAAGGGGTGCGGCACGCAGGGAAGGGTGTGACGGGGACCGAGCTCCCGTTTGGACGCCAGGGAAAGTGGCTGAGATCGCGAAGGCGCTCGGAGGTCCCAAAAGGGGGCGGAGGCCTCTGTCCGCCAGCGACGCACACGCAGTGCGAGGACGCCTCACCTGGCCTGTCCTTCCTTACGTGCAGTCCAGCCATCTGAGCTGCCCATCAGGACACCTACCTCAATCGCGTTTCTCCGCTGAGTTCCGCGTCCACACCGCCAGCGCGGAGGGGTGGACGGTCCTTTCCAGGAGCCTGAGCCACCGCCCTCAACCCGCGCAAGCGCAGTGCACGCAGGCCGTCAGCCGGGAAGGCCCCGCCCAGGGCCCGGCGCCCCGCGCAGGCGCAGTCCTAAGACGTCCCCCATTCCAGGGAAGCCAAGCCACCGCCCTCGACTTGCGCCGGCGCGTCGCTCACAGATCGTCTGCAGCTGGGGCTGCGCCCCGCGCAGGCGCACTTCACATCTGCGCGTCCCGCGGTCTTGCGAGGCGAGGCCAGGTTCTCCATGTGTGGAGCTCGTCCCCAATCGCCCAGCCCAGCCGCGGGGTTGGGGGGCTCGGCTTGGGGTCCGACCCAGAGGGGCGCGGGGCAGGAGTCCGACCTGGGGCGGGGGGCGGGTTTGGGCCATTCACGGCTTGGGAAGCGACAACCCCTACGAGCCACAAAATGGCTGGGGCTTGGGGGACCCCCCACCTCCTCTGTCTTCCCGCAAATAATTCAGTTAACTTTCCCATCCGCGCTGCGCAGTGTGCGCCCTCTGCCTTTCTTCTGGATAAGTGGAAGCAGAATGATGACGTTTCTGTTGTGGGGAGAGGAAGTTTGGGGTTAAGGAGAAATGGGTGGCGCTAATGCCTGTAAAACATAAAATTCGAAGCCCCCCCTCCCCCGCAGCCGTCTGACTGGACTCCCTCCTTTACCAGGGGACCCTGAAGTTCAACCTGAGAGACTATTCTGGCCTCGAAGGGAAGTAAGAGTTGGACATGCCTTTTTACACTCCTCCAGCATTAACATCAAGGCAGACCTTAAGTCTGATTTAAAAAAAAAAATGTGGAAGGAAAATAAATTTGGGGGCCGCAAAATCATTAAGCTTAAAAGGAAAAGTCAAGTTGGGAACTGCTTAGGGCAAACCTGCCTCCCATTCTGTTCAAAGTCATCTCTCAGCTCACTGAGATAAATGCGTATCTGATTGCCACCTCTGGAGAGGCTAACCAGAAACTCAAGGGAATGCAATGATTTGTCTCATATTTACCTATGACCTGGAAGCTCCCTCCTGCCTTTGCTTTGAGTTGTCCCGCCCTTCCGGACCAAACCAATGTTCATCTTACATATATTGATTGATGTCTCATGTCTCCCTAAAACGTATAAAACCAAACTGTGCTCTGACCACCTTGGGCACATGTCATCAGGGCCTCCGACGGCCGTGTCATGGGCGTGCATCCTTAAATTCAGCAAAATAAACTTCCTAAGTTGACTGAGATCTGACTCAGATATTCAAGGTTCACATTTTGGTAACCACAAAGGGATTCTGAGTAGAGGTGCCACTGACCTTTGACAAATCTGTCAGTCCTTAGTACCAGCTTGAGCTATCTTTATGGCTCAAACCAATAGGACAATTTGCTGAGGCCTGGAAGCACCCCCTCCAGAGAATCCCTGATCTACCCAGATTTAGTCAAGATCTAGTTTATTTTGCTGTACAACTCCTTTTGTGTGTTGGGCGGGGGTTGGGGGGCGGGGTGTGCTTTACTCTCTTCCAACATAAGGAAGTAGTAGTTTTTTCCTGCTTCCATGACAATGGAAGGCAGGTAACTCGTTTATGGAGTTTGAGCTCGCTTCCCACAGGAAAGATGAGGGGTTTTCTTCCTCTGCTTCTAGGGTGGTAGAGAGCAATCTTCAGCCTCAGACCCATCCCTAGGAAGTAACTGAATTGGGGTTTGTCTTGGCTATTAAGATTAACAACCAGCTGGTCTTAATTTCTCCTTACCATTAGTGTGCTCAGTAACCTTATAAATTGCCCAATCCTTCGTTTCGCTTAACTGGTTTTTTTGTTGTTGTTTCTGTTTTTTGTTCTTTTGTCTTTTTCGCATTGAGTTTGACGAACTCTATCTGACTTGATCGAAACCAAAGGAAAGTTCCAAATTATGAGAAGTGAGGCCTCTGAAGTGGCTAAGTTTCAACCCCTCCCCACCACACACACACACACAAAAGGTGATGTGGTGGGGGGAGAAAAACAGCTAGCAAAAGGAAAAAGAAAAAAAAAATTTATTTTGACTACTTAAAGGGCTTTTCTTACATAACAAGGCCACATTTTTGCTAGCCAGACCAACCAAAAAGAGTAATGTCTGTCACCCCACACTGCAGTTCCATACCTAAGGGTTCTGCCTTCTTTTTTTCCACCACCACAGCCTGGGTTTAGTTCCTAAATTAAGCCCTTTCTGGTTTGATACTTGGTACTTCTGAAATAGCAGCAATTAGTCCTAGCTGAAATATGATAATGAGATTTATTTATTTATTTAGACAGAGTCTGGCTCTGTGTTCCAGGCTGGGGTGCAGTGGCACAATCTCAGCTCACTGCAACCTCCACCTCCCAGGTTCAAGTGATTCCCATGCCTTAGCCTCCTGAGTAGCTGGCATTATAGGCCTGCACCACCACACCCAGCTCATTTTTGTATTTTTTTGGTAGAGATGGGGTTTCACCATGTTGGCCAGGCTGGTCTCAAACTGGCCTCAAGTGATCCGCCTACCTCGGCCTCCCAAAGTGTTGGGATTACAGGCATGAGCCACCATGCCCAGCCAGTAATGAGATTGAAAAAGTTTATTTTTAAGGAGCTCAATGGTTAAAAGCTTAATTAAAAGCTAACATCCAACATATGTGTGTTGTGTGCCTGTGTGTGTGTGTTTGTATTTAAAAGGCTTCCAGTTTTGTTTTTTTTGTTTTTTTCTCTCCTAGGACCTTGTCTTTTTGAGCAAAAGTTTTTTTCTTCTTAGTTGACTGGCTTCTGTTTTCTTCATTTACTTTTGTCGTGTCTTCTTTCTCTTGCACCCTCTGCTTCATGGGAAACCTAATATAGTTTGTAATACCCAGGGTTCCTTACAGAAAACGGAGAAGGTGCCAGATTCCCCTTGGAGGAGAAACCTCTGTTTCCTTATGGAACCCCAAATGTGTAAACAGACAAGTTCATCTCAGCTTTTTTTTTTTTTCATCTCAGCTCTTAAACTGCTTGCTTTTGTATTGTGTTACCTAATTTTTTTACTAAAATAGTTACTGCAACAGAGGCTACTCTGGAGTTCTTAAGGAATAGTATAGTTTAGACATGTAGAAATGTCTTTGTTGAAAAAAGTTTTTTAAGTGCACTGTAAAAGCATGATGTAGTCTAACCTCATAATAATTTTCGCTTTTTGGAGACCCAGGATTCAGTGTAGGGTCTGCCCAGAGCTCAGAGATCCAGTTAAAATATAGGGAGTCTCTGTCTAAATAAAACTGGTCTCCTTATACAATCCTATGATAGATTTTCATAATTTTATGTTTGATTTCACATCCATTTTTAATCTCTCTTTAGCACCACCAGACTTTTTCCTCTCTGTACCTTAAAATGTAAATTTTGCTATCTAATTTTTCATCTAATAGTTTCCTTTAATATGCAGATTTAGGGCTATTTAGCCGGCAACTGCCAGGGCAATGACACAGATGATCAAGAGTTTGCAAGTCTAAGATAGAAAAAAAAAAAGAGGTCTTAGGAATCTATAAGATGTACTTCTATCGGTATACCTAATACATCTATGTATTTATGTGTTGCGTACACAATGTTTCTCTATTAAAAAATATAGAAGAGCTATAATTAATTGGCTTAAAGAAAAATAAAAGTGCTCAAATAAATTATTTATTTATTAATTAAAGAAAAATAAAAGTGCTCAAATAAAATACTTTATTAGAAAAAGGGAAAGACTAGTCAAATGTTAAGTTTACTTAAAATCTTTAATAAATAAGTTAGCTTTAAAAATAGTGGCAAAGTAATTTAGAAATGTCTTAAGAATTGCCAGCATACATTTTTGTTTGCATTTATTTATCAAGCAATTTCCTACTTATCCCTGCCAATTACTATAAGGTGTCAACATTTGGCATAGGGGTTACAAAACTATAAACCCAGCCCCAAATGGAAGAACATAAATGGCCTGATGGAGCTGAAAAACACAGCACGAGAACTTCATGAAGCATACACAAATATCAATAGCCAAATCAATCAGGTAAAAGAAAGGATATCAGAGACTGAAGATCAACTTAATGAAATAAAGTGTGAAGATAAGATTAGAGAAAAAATAATGAAGAGAAATGAACCCTTCTCAAAAGAAGACATTAATGCGGCCAATAAACGTGAAAAAAAACTCTTCATCACTGGTCATTACAGAAATGCAAATCAAAACCACAATGAGATATCATCTCACACCAGTTAGAAAGGTGATCATTAGAAAGTCAGGAAACAACAGATGCTGGAGAGGATGTGGAGAAATAGGAACGCTTTTACGCTGTTAGTGGGAGTGTAAATTAGTTCAACCATTGTGGAAGACAGTGTGGCGATTCCTCAATGATCTAGAACCAGAAATACCATTTGACCCAGCAATCCCATCACTGGGTATATGCCCAAAGGAATATAAATCATTCTACTATGAAGACACATGCACACACGTATGTTTATTGCAGCACTGTTCACAATAGCAAAGACTTGGAACCAACACAAATGCCCATCAGTGATGGACTGGATAAAGAAAATGTGGCACATATACACCATGGAATACTATGCAGCCATAAAAAGGATGAGTTCATGTCCTTTGCAGGGACATGGATGAAACTGGAAACCATCATTCTCAGCAACTAACACAAGAACAGAAAACCAAACACCACATGTTCTCACTCATAAGTGGGAGCTGAACAATTAGAACATGTGGACACAGGGAGGGGAACATCTCACACCAGGACCTGTCAGCGGGTGGGGGGCTAGGGGAGGGATAGTACTAGGAGAAATACCTAATGTAGATGATGGGTTGATGGGTGCAGCAAACCACCATGGCACGTGTATATGTAACAAACCTGCACATTCTGCACATGTATCCCAGAACTTACAGTATAATGATAAAAAAAAAAGAGAAAAATCTGCTGATGTATAATTCTAAGCCTAAGAAGAATAGCCATTACAAAGGAAGTCAAAATAAATTCATTTTCAGATAAACAGAATCTGACTGAAGCAAACATGCACTAAAATGCTAAAAGAAGAACTTCAGGCTAAAATAAGATAATCTCATAACTGCAGGAAGGACAGAAGAGTACTAGAAAGTGTAAATAAATGGATAAATGTATTTTTAACATTTGTCCTTAAATCAACAATAATTGTGACTTGTGAGGTTTATAATGTGTAGAGGTGGAATATATGCCAACAGCCGCACACAGAGCAAGGGGGATAAATAAACAATTGTAACGTGCTGGATCTTTGTTAGGACAAAGCAAAAGTATCCTAATAACTTCAGGCAGGTCAAGAGTGCATAATGAGATCTCAAAAAATACAATGATGTATGACAACAAGCAAAATAGAAGATAAAAGAAAAATAATAAATTTTAAAAATGGAAAAGAAAACAGTAAGAGAGTACTACAGAAATAAAAAACAGACAAGACAAATGAAAAATAAACAGCAGTGCAGCAAACCACCATGGCACGTGTGTACCTATGTAACAAACCTTCACGTTCTAGGCATGTATCCCAGAACTTAAAGTATAATAAAAAATAAAATAAAAATAAACAGCAAGGTGGCAGAATTAAACCCAACTATATTTGTAACAACATTAAATGTAAAGATAGAAAACATGCCTTTTTTTTTTTTTTTTGAGACAGAGTCTAGCCCTGTCACCCAGGCTAAAGTACAGTAGCACAATCTCAGATCACTGCAACCTCTGCTTCCTGGGTTTAAACGATTCTCATGCCTCAGCCTCCCGAGTAGCTGGAATTAAAGCCGTGTGCCACCCTTCCCAGCTAATTTTTTTTTCTGTATATTTAGTAGAGATGAGGTTTCACCATGTTGGTCTGCCTGATCTCGAACTCCTGACCTCAAGTGATCCACCCACCTCAGCCTCCCAAAGTGCTGGGATTACAGGTGTGAGCCACCGTGCCCGGCCAATGCCAATATTTTTAAGTATCTCTTTTAGAGATTTGACTAAATGGTAGTTATAAGAAACATACTTTACTATAAAGAAACATTTAGTTGAAAGTAAAAGAGTGAAACAATACCACACCAACACAAACCATACTGATAGTGTAAAACACAAATCATACTGATATTGTAAAAAGCAGACTTTAATGCAAATGGTATTACCAGAAATAAGAGAATTATTTCATAATGATAAAATGTCAATTCAGTAGAAAGAAATAGCAGCCCCAGATTTGTGTGTCTATAACATACCTTCAAAATATAAAATCCAGAAATTCAAAAATTAATATAACTCAAAGGAGAAACGGAACCATCCATAATTGTAGTTGGGGAATTTAACACACCTGTCACGTAACTCAGAACAAAAAGGCGGAGGACAGAGATTCAAACAGCTCATTTAACCAACATGACACACGTCATGTCGGCATATATCATGAGACTTACATATATACACAAATATATAAAATCAGTATATCCACTTCACCAACCGCTAGCAGAGTGTCTGTTATTTTCAGGTACACGTGGAACATTTACCAAGAAAGCAAAGTAGACTACGGTTTGTCATAAAGCAAAGTTTGGCCAGCTCTGAAGTGGCCCCACTTTCCCTGCCTCCTGGTATCTGTGCCTGCTGCATTGAATCTGCTGATTCAGGATTGCCCCTCCCAATCGATAGGTCGAATGTTGAGATGGATGATGTGACACACCCTAAGAGGGCATGAAAACACCTGTTAGCCATCATGAGTGCTTCTGGGTGCAGCAGCCCAGCACGCAAGCTGGTCTAGAACTGGCTTGAGTGGCTTGGGAAAGGATGGAGGTGGGTAGCCTGGGTTTTCTTGGGGTTAGGGCATAGGGAAAGAGAAGAGCTCATGTGTGCAGGTGGGACTTGCGTGGTTTGAGCTTCCCACTGGCCCCACGGGAAGCCATGTGCACACTTCCTCATCAGACCACCAAGATATGCGGTGGAAGGGCGGCAGGGCTTCAGAGCTGTCAGCAGTCAGCCCCTTATTGACGCCTGCAGTGTCCCCCTACCTTTAGCGGGCGGGACCTTTGATTTGCTTTGAACCATAGAATACCACAAGTGTAATGGGATGTAATGGGATGTCACTTCTGTGATATAAGATTTTGACCTCCATTTTGCAAGGAGACTCTCTTACTAGCTTTGATAAAACAAGTGGCTATTTTGGGGACATTCCCCATGACAAGGACTGAGGGCTGCCTCTAGGAACTCACTGAGGCTGACAGCCAACAGCCAGCAAGAACTAAGGACCTCAGTCCCACAACCTCAAAAAACAATTCTTCCAGTAACCAGGTATAGCTGCTGGTTTTCTAGCTGATGATAGCTGGTTTTCATACAATAGTCTGCTCAGGCGGCCTTAACAAAATACCACAGACTAGGAGGCTTAAACAACAGAAATTTATTTTCTCACAGTTCTGGAGGCTGGAAGTGCATGATCAAGGTGCCAGCAAATTAGATTTCTGGTGAGGGCTCTCTTTCCGGCTCGTAGACAGCCACCTTCTTGCTGTGTCCTCAAACGGCCTTTCCACTGTGTGCATGCAATGAGAGCACTCCAGTATGTGTTCCTCTTCTTATAAGGGCACCAGATTAGGTGCTATCAGATTGGCGACCCACCCTTATGATCTTGTTGAACCTTAATGACCTCCTGTGGAGCCTAAAGCAGCTCCATCTTGGATGCTGATCCTCCGTGTTGGCTTCTGATTGACCCCGGTTCCTGAAATGCCTCTAAGATTTGTATTTTAACTACTGGTCCTTGTGTAAGAGCATGCACTTACCATAAATCCTGCCCTTAGGGCAAAACAATCTTGACATTATCTTACTTACCATGCGGTTATCCTACACATCACCTCTGAAGCATGCATACTCTTCCCCTATGGTCTATAAGCCCTGGGTCTGGGAGGGTAACAATGAGGAGATCCACCCACTTCCCTCGATGCTGCCCAAGACACAGACATAGCTTCTGTTCACAAGTCACTGTTAAATGTTTCTCAGAAACTGATTTGTCAGCCTCTTTCTGAGCCTCCTTGACTTTGGGGGCAGGTTTGCATAGACCTGCTCACCTTGGAATACCTTGCTAAGGGCTCTATCTTCAAATACAGTCACATTGGGGATTGGGTTCAATATATGAATTTGGAGGTAGGGGGCACAATTCAGTCCCTGATATGGTTTGGCTGTGTCCCCACCCAAATCTCATCTTGAATTGTAGTTCCCATAATCCACATGTGTGGTGGGAGGGACCCTGTGGGAGGTCACTGAATCATGGGGGCAGCTACCCCCACACTGTTCTCATGATAGTGAGTGAGTTCTCATGAGATCTGATGGTTTTTAGAAGGGGCTTTTCCTCCTTTGCTCAGCACTTCTCCTTCCTGCCACCCTGTAAAGAAGTTGCCTTTCTTCCCCTTCATCTTTCGCCATGATTGTAAATTTCCTGAGGTCTCCCCAGCCATGAGGAACTGCGAGTCAATTAAACCTCTTTTCTTTATAAACTACCCAGCCTCAGGTGTTTCTTCATAGCAGCATGAGAATGGACTAATATGTAAATAATGTGTGACTAGAGAGTAAGCTGTGGTGTTTTTTTTTCCAATGGCTGTAAATTCTTTGACATCTTCCCATTGAGAAACAGGGTCCGTGTTTGTTCCCCTTGGTCTTGGACTTGTAATGTCTGATGTAACCCCTAGGTCGCGAGGCCTGCAGTGGCTCCCGAGGCAGCTCAGGAAAGGCCATGCAGCTCTCTCAGTCCTCTAGGAATGCAGGCTCTTGGGACACTCCTCAGAACCCAGCCTCTCAGAGACACCATGAACAGTGCTGCAAATGTCAGCTCCAGGTGAGCCCAGCCTTCATGTTCTCTCCTACCTGGTGCTACGTGACCTCGGGATGGTTCTACCGCAGCCGCAGAGCCACAGCTGTTCTGTCTCCCCAGCTGAGGTCCTAGACACTGAGCCACACCAGCACCCTGTGCCAACCGATCATGCCCTGGGAGAAAAATAAAACAGCTGATGCTTTTACGCTATTAGATGGTGGTTTCTTATGCAGCAATAGTAACCAGAACAGAATCAGGTACTTTGAAGTGGGATGCTACCATGACAAAAGCCAAAAAACATTGCGGGTTGGCTGTGGGACTCAGCCCCAGAGAGGAGGCTGGCAGGCATGAGAAGGCAGCTGGCAAGGGACTGAGGAAAAGCAAGGAAATGTTCTGGAAGTGAAGGAAAGAAGGCTCTTGTCATTGAATGACTGGCTTCTTTCACCTGCACATCATGAGAAATGATTAGGGAGAGAGGCACTGGAGAAGGAATGATGGGGTTTTCAAACAGAACTTATAAAGACATGAAGGAGCCAGGATTTGCTGGGCTCAAAAATGAAACTAATTTTCATCCCCAGTTTCTCCCAGCAGAAGATTCTCAAAGAATGAGAGGGCTCAGGGCAAAGTTGGGACCCACAGCCCTGTAGGGAATATGTGGGTTCAGAGCAGACATGAAGCCAAGAGTGGGATTATAAAACCCTCCATTAAGATGCAGAAAGAGTTCAACTGGTGTCTCACCAGCCTTTTCAGAGGCAAAGGGCCTCCCAGGGATGGTACACATGTGCCTCCCAGGCCCCTATTAAGGAGACCTTCTGGGAATCTTAACAGCATTGTTCCACAACAGCCTCACAGGGAGCCCTGAATAGAAAATGGTCTATTTAAAAGAGATCTGCGGTGCAGGTTTTGTCTAATGGAGTGAACATCAATAAAATTTATAGAAAACCCACAAAGTTATTAAAGGAATTGTACTAGAAAAATAAAAGCAGCCTGTGTTTGTGGTTAAGCAGTCTTCTTAGCCTGTAGAAATTCAGGGGCCCACTGGCCTCCTTTCATTTTGTACTATCTGGTTCTTTTAATCCAAGCTGGCTTTTATTTTCTTCTCAGGTGCCTAGAGAATCAGTCCCTGTAGCAACACTGCACCCTAATCACAGACCTGTTGACCTGGGTCAGGTTGGATTTCAGAATCTCTGCAGACTGCCTGCTTTTTGCCTCAGTTTCCCCCTTCTGAGTGGCAGGGGCCAAGGTGTCTGTCCTATCCCCATCCCCATTAGACATAGGGTGAAGAGGTTGGGCCAGGTGCTTGGCTCTTGAGGTCACAAGTCTGTGGATTGAAAAGGAAACACATCGAAGAGGCTGTGCCTGAGGAGCCGTGCCCATGGAGCCTCACCCCGCATGGAGATGGTTAAGTGGTGAGACCTGGAGCTCTGGCTGCCATAATGGCACGAGACCATGGGTGTCTGGGTGAGTCTATTTTGCATGTGTAGGGGGTGCAGCCAGAGGGCAGAATGTGTTTTCCAAAGTTGGTCATAGCAAGGTCTGCAATCCTCCCCACATGCTCTTCTCTTGCCATTTCATCAGGAAGTGGAGTCTGGCTGGGCATGGTGGCTCATGCCTGTAATCCCAACATTTTGGAAGGCTAAGGCAAGTGGATCGCTTGAGGCCAGGAGTTCGAGCAGCCTGGCCAACATGGTGAAACCCCATCTCTACTAAAATTACAAAAATTAGCCAGGCGTGGCGGTGCATGTCTGTAATCCCAGCTACTCAGGAGATGAGTTACAAGAATCACTTGAACCCTAGAGAAGGAGGCTGCAGTGAGCTGAGATTGCACCACTGCACTCCAGTCTGGACAATAGAGCAAGACTCTGTTTCAAAAACAAAAACAAGCAGAGTCCAAGCACCTCCTTGAGTCAGAGCAGGGCATTTCCTCCTGCTCCGATCCACGACAGCAGCATTTCATGTGGTTGGGACTTGGACTCTGGAGGCAGGCCCAGGTTCAAATCCTGGCTTTGACACTGAGTGATACAACCTGAGCCTCAGTTTCCCCCATCATGATGGAGAAACATGCGTTTCCTATGCAGGCTGAGGCTCCGAAGGCTGCTAAGCTCCTTTCCCTGCTAAGGGGAGGTCCTCATTTATGCCATTGCCCAGGTTTCCTTTGCATGTGACTTATCACACGGTGCTCTGGAGCCCTGTCCTTGGAGACTCACACCCCTGTGACCAGGATGGGGTCAGGGCTGTGCTTAATCAGGTGACTGTCCAAGGAGCCCCCTTCCACCTCCAGAGTTCAGAACTCAGTGTCTTACCTTCCTCCCAGGAACCAGAGCACACTGAACACGCAGGGCCTGGCAGGGCACCTGACGGCCAACATGTTGGGGGGCATTGGAGCACACAAATCAACACTCCAGGGGCAGGAGTGGTTGTCACTTGAGTTGCAAAATCTAGGGACCCTAAAAGAGTCCCTGTGAGGCCTGGCTCCTTGGTGTGCTGAGCAACTGACCCATCCCCCACACTCTCCTACCCAAAGAGGCCTCTGGAGCCTTCCTACGGCCAAGGGACCTGGCCAGCCGCACAGGCTGAGGACAGAGCGAGCTCGGCCAGGGCTCCGTGAACAGCTGTCCTTCTGTGGCCATCATCACAGCAGCAGCAAGTTCAGGGTGGGGCATCAGCACGGGGTGTGCGCTCTCTCATCCTGGGCATCTGAGTTTTTCGTTTTAAAAGTTGTGATCACCAAGACGCTGTCCTTGTCTGCCTCTGCATCTCATGGTCCCCGCTGTGGGGAGGCGCGCAGCCAAGTGGGCCTCGCCTGGGGAAGGGAGGTGCATGCATGCGACTCAGGCAAACACGGCCCCTGGGCCTCGTTCCAGGGAGCCCCAAAGGCAGAGTTCAGAAGATTGCAATTAATTTTCTAAATTAATACACAATAACAGATAATTAATTTTAAATGTTGAACTTAATGTTAGTACATATGTTACAGGAATTACATCAAATTATTTGATTTTATTATGGAGTCTGTCTTAAGTTTTAATTCCAAAAATAGTTTATTCCTCCTATGATTTAAATTTTATTTACATTAGCACTCAATAGAACTACTAGATGCTAAATATACCTGTGGATGTATTCCAGTTACACTAAAAATTGAAATATAGTGCCAGGTTATTCACAGTGTTTTTAACTTGAAGTTTGTTTTTCAAAAGCAAAAGAGGTTATTGTTCTGCAGTAGCAAAACTGCTAGGGATTGAGCTTCCAGATTTTTTAAAATTATATTTATATATTTAGACGGAGTTTCATTCTTGTTGCCCAGGCTGGAGTGCAATGGTGCAGTCTCAGCTCACTGCAACCTCTGCCTCCTGGGTTCAAGCAATTCTCCTGCCTTAGCCTCTCCAGCAGCTGGGATTACAGGCACCTGGCTAATTTTTTTTGTATTTTTAGTAGAGATGGGGTTTTACCGTGTTGGCCAGGCTGGTCTTGAACTCCTAACCTCAGGTGATCTGCCCACCTCGGCCTCCCAAAGTGCTAGGATTACAGGCGTGAGCCACTGTGCCCAACCGAGCGTCCAGATTTTAGGTTCTCAGCTTTCCTCTTCTCTCATACGTTTGGTATGTTCTTTATTTAAATCTCTAAAATAAAACAACTCATTTCCACCTCCTGGGTCGTTGCTGTCGAGGTGGTTCAATTCCACGCAGGCATTTTTACAGTCAAGGCGTGAGCATCCTCACTTGTTAAGTAGAGTTTGTTTGTTTGTTTTTCTTTGTTTTTTTGAGACAGAATCTCTGTGACCCAGGCTGGAGTGCAGTAGCAGGATCTCTGCTCACTGCAACCTCCATATCCCGAGTTCAAGGGATCCTCCTGCCTCAGCCTCCCAAGTAGCTGGGACTACAAGCATGCGCCACCACACCTGGCTAATTTTTGTATTTTTAGTAGAGACAGGGTTTCACAATGTTGCCCAGGCTGGTCTCAAACTCCTGACCTCAAGTGATCCGCCCGCCTCAGCCTTCCAAAGTGCTGGGATTACAGATGTGAGTTAAGCAGTTTGAACAATCGATTGATTAGACTTTTGTGGCTGCTCATTTGGGCATGTGGCCGAGTACTGTGCTGTCCTGGCCCACAGCGTCCTACAGGAAGGGACGGGCTGTAAGACGTGGGATCTTCTGAAGTCGTCAAATGAAAAACACTCCTGTTGAGTGAAAAAACAAATAGGCTAATCCTATGATTTTTTAAACATTTAAACCTGACATGATTTTATTGCAAATTTCCAAGAATCCTTAAAAGTTATAAAAAGCATAATCAAAATAAATATCTGTGACAGAGTTCTACAAAAGGGAAAACTCAGTTTTCCTTTTGAGATCTTGCCCCAGCATCAGTTCAAACACTTCCTCTTATATTTCACCAAGACTCAGTTCCTGAGCAAGAAACCACAGGCACAGCAAGTGCCATGAAAAGCGGCTTTGTGTGGGGTGGGCTCTTCACACTCCAATCTCCACTTCCTTCTCAAGGCCTCAAAAAAAGTTGAAAAATGAAAACAAAAGCCCTGCTGTGTTGAGCTGGGCTCTGGCGTTGCCATGGACCCAGGGCAAACAGCGGTGCTCCTGCTCTGCCCCCGGCTCAGCTCATGCTGGGCCTGCACTTCTGGAAGGGAGCATGGACTTTGGAATGACTGGTTAGAACCCAAATGAATTAATGGAATTTGACATAGTTCAAAAATAATAAAATGTGATACCCATGAAATGCTGATATTCTGCCTTAATTTGCCAGATTGGGGGCCTCCTGGATTTAGAGTATTCTAAAGTAGCCAGTAGGTTCACTCTGCCCTTTTAGACCTAATATATCTGGCTCAGAAAGAAGTCTCTGTCCCTCTGCTATTTGCTGTTCTTTGCTTTGCCCAGTCTGACTCCTGCCAGCTCCAGGTTCTGCAGACAAGAACAGTAACTTTTATAATAATAATAATGACTCCCAAGTGAGTGCATTGGGCCCTTCACGTGTGTCTGTATGTGTGCACATGTATGTGCGTGTCAATTTCCTTTACTCCTCCTACAGCCCTCTCAGGGGTGCAGCTTTTTTTCTGTCTTTTACTCAGCCTGAGAAAGGTTGTCGTTTGACAAGGTTTGTTCAGAGGTCGGATCTGAATCCAGCTCCAAGGCCCCAGCACCCAAGCCCTGACCCCATGGCTGCCTGCTGGCTGGGAGTGGCATTCTTTAGAACAGGAAAGGCAGTGAGTTCTCATTGCATCAATACTTGCATTTGCTACAACAGAAGCTTTTTGTCTCTTCCTCACATTCCTTTAGAACACAAGCCTCCTTTTCTGCCTGTGGCCATCGGTCACT
This sequence comes from Homo sapiens, assembly GCF_000001405.40. Taxonomy (NCBI): domain Eukaryota; kingdom Metazoa; phylum Chordata; class Mammalia; order Primates; family Hominidae; genus Homo; species Homo sapiens. Next base: position 46,621,615 of record NC_000021.9, on the reverse strand, counting down.
GGAGTCAGCCTCGTGAGTGGCTTGGTGGCGGATGGCACCGTCCTTTGTGGGAGAAAACAATGTTGCTGCCCAGGCCTTTCTGGAATGACCCCTTCCCACCCCCTGACCAGCCCCAGCAAGGCCCGGGGCTGGCTGCCTAGTTGATTGGAGCCAAGAGTTTGCTGAATGGATGAAGGGAGAAGGGACATCCAAGTGACTGAAGAAGATCTTAACAGAAGATTGATATATTCAAATAGAGGCCCCTGTTGACCCACAAGCTCCTTCGTGCTCTGGCCTGGGCAGGCAGCACTGTTGCTTGGGAAGGAGAGCCCCTTCCTGTCATGGCAGGTTGTCGTCTGGGAACCTGGAGCTACATCATCTCATTTCCCTCCATCTGCAGAGTAGACAGAGGGTGAACCACATGGGTGCCTTTGGCATTCAAGGTGCGGTAGACTAGACACCATGGGCCTTGAGCCTCCATCACCCCCTCCCAATTACCTCCACAGTTTCACAGGCTGCAATGCCAGGCAGCTCTCCACAACGCCATGACCACGAGTCAAGTGATAGCTCTTGGCTAGTACAGTAATGTCCTGGGCATTCGCAGAGTCATGGCAGCGTTGCTCACAATGGCACCCTTCTTCCCAAGCCAAAGAGTGCATGGTCTCACTCTCCTGGGAAACACCGTGGTGATCGCCCTCCAGCAACCAGCTGCCTGTTGGCACCCTTGTTGTCTCCTCAAGCTTTTTTATTATTGGGAGGAAGAAGTAGTACACATTATTTTACAGGTGGACTAGTGACATTTGTGATGTCTTATTATATTACTCTGGGGATTTTATATCTTCAGAAAGTAACTACTCATTTTTGGTTTCCAGTTCAACATGTAAGGAGCTAAGAAATCTTTGCTCCATCCTAACAGCAAGTAAAAAGCTGAACAAACTGAAAAATTAACAGCCCCTCTTAGATCCAGTAGAGAAGTGAGGTCACAAGACAAACTATTGTTCCCAACATTGGAGAGACAGACAGGTGGGGAGAGAGAATCACAACTTATCTCCAGCAGAAACCTCCAGTGCCAGGGTAGGAAAACCCGAAAAATTGCTGGAGGCTCAGTGTGGCAAGTCTGAGGGACAAAAACCTCCAGGGGGACCCCCGTCCTGAGGGCCCCTACACTTTTGTGAATTTTACCTCCAGGAGCTCGACCAGGTCCTCACAGTGGATATTGGAGAAAGATCCCCTTGTGCTTCAGCAGGGGGAAGAAAAAAGAAAACATCTTGAGATAGGGCATTCTGTTCTTAACAATGCCTGTCCTCAGGAGCCAAACTGGCTGGGTTACATCAGAGCCTGACCTACCTACTCCAGGTGGCTCTGGACTTTCATGCAGGTGAAGGGAAATACACAATTTCAGCCCCCTACAGCCATCCTGTTCCACTCACAGGATGGGGGAGCACTTGTGAAGGTCACAATTCAAGGGGGCAGAGTCACCACAGACCTAGACCTACTCATAGGACTGTAGAATGCTTTCCCTCCCCCGCACCTACCACCGCATCACTAAAGGTCTTTTTACAGCAGTTCCTTCTAGCCAGATTTCATTTCCAGCCTTCAAAAAACATGACAAGGCACACTAAAAGACAAAAACTAGTTTGAAGAGCCTAAAAAAGCATCACAAGCAGAGTCAGATATGGCAGGAATGCTGAAATTATCAAACCAGGAATTTTGAAAAGCTATGAGTAATATGTTAAGGGATTTAACAGAAAAAGCAGATGGCATGCAAGAGTGGATGGGCAACAAAAGCAGAAAGATGGAAATTCTAAGAAATAATCAAAAATAAATGCTAGAGTTTTAAAACCATTGTAACAGAAAGGAAGAATCCCTTTGATGGAGTCATCGGTAGACTCATGGCCGAGGAAAAAATCTCTGAGAGCTGGAGAACATGACAATAAAAACTTCCAAAACTAAAAAACAAAGAGAATAAAAGCTGAGCGGGAAAAGCAGAACATAATATCCTAGAACTATGGGATAGCTGCGAAAGGTGTAACATACACATAATGAGAATAAAAGAAGAAAGAGAGAAAGGAACAGAAGCAATATGTGAAGCAATAATGACTGAGAATTTCCCCAAGATTAATGTGAGACACCAAATCACAGCTCCAGGAAGCTCAGAGAACACAAATAGGATAAATGCCCTTCCCCCAAAACTAGGCATATCACATTCAAGCTTCACAAAATCATAGTTAAAGGAAAAATCTCAAAAGAAACCAGAGAAAATAAACACGTTACCATAGAGAAGCAAGATAAAAATTACATCTAACTTCTCCTGAAAAACTATGCAAGCGAGAAGAAGATGGAATGAAATAGAGTCATATATCACTTAATGATGGGGATACATACTGAGAAATGTTTCATTAGGCAATTTTGTCCTTACGCAAACATCATACAGTGCAGTTACACAAACCTAGCTGGTACAGCCTGCTATATACCTAGGCTGTATGATACAGCCTGTTGCTTCTAGGTTACAAACTTGTCCAATATGTTACTACTGGATACCGTAGGCAATGAAACACAATAGTAAGTATTTTTATGTCTAAACATAGAAACAGTACAGTAAAAATATGATATAAAAGATTTTTAATGATATACCCATATAAGGCATTTACGATGAACAGAGTTTGCAGAACTGGAAGTTGTTCTGGGTGAGTTAGTGCTTGAGTGGTGAGTGAGTGTGAATGCCCAGGACATTACTGTACTCTACTGCAGACTTATAAGCATTTCTGTACTCTACTGTAGGCTTGCAAGCATTACTGTACTCTACTGCAGACTTATAAGCACCACTGTACTCTACTGTAGGCTTATAAGCACTGTACACTTAAGCTGTGCTAAATTTATTTATTTATTTATTTTAGAGACAAGGTCTCGCTGCATTGCCCAGGCTGTTCTTGAACTCCAGGCTGTTCTGAACTCAAGCAATCTTCCTGCCTCGGCCTCCCAAGGTGCTAGGATTAGAAGCTTAAGCCTCTGCAGCCAGTCATACATTAAATTTATTTTAAAATATTTAAAATATCCTTGCCGGGCATGGTGGTTTAAGTCTGTAATCTCAGCACTTTGGGAGGCCGAGGTGGGTGGATCACTTGAGGTCAGGAGTTCGAGACCAGACTGGCCAACATGGTCAAACCCCGTCTCTACTAAAAATACAAAAATTAGCCAGGTTTGGTTGCGCATGCTTGTAATCCCAGCTGCTTGGGAGGCTGAGGCAGGAGAATCGCTTGAATTTGGGAGGTGGAGGTTGTAGTGAGCCAAGATTGCACCACTGCACTCCAGCCTGGGCAACTGAGCAAGACTCTGTCACAAAAACAAAAACAAAACAAAATTATTCTTTCTTCAATAATAAATTAAACTTAGCTTACCATAACTTATTTACTTTATAAACTTTTTTTCTCATTGACTCATTTGTAATAACACTTAGCTTAAAATACAAACACATCGTATAGCTATACAAAAATATTTTCTTTCTTTATATCTTTAATCTATAAGCTTGTTTCCATTTTTAACAATTTTTAAATTTTTTACTTTTTAAACTCTTTTTTTAACTGAAACACAAACACATTAGCCTAAGCCTACACAGGTCAGAACCATCAATATCACTGTCTTCCACCTCTACATCACATCTTTTCCCCCTGGAAGGTCTTCAAGGACAATGAGACATATGGAGCTGTCATTCTCTATGATAACGGCACCTTGTTCTAGAATATGTCCCAAAGGACCTGCTCGAGGCTATTTTACTGGTAACTAACTGTTAACTAACTTTACATAGATAGATAGATAGATGATAGATAGATAGATAGATAGATAGATAGATAGATAGATAGATAGAAAGAGTACCATCTAAAATAATAAAATGTATTGTATAGTAAATACATAAACCAGTAAGATGGTCATTTATGATCATTGTCAAGTATTACGTATCGTACATAATTTGATGTACTATACTTTTATGTGACTGGTAGCACAGTAGGTTTGTTTATACCACTATAACCACAGACACATGAGTAATGCATTGCACTACAATGTTTTGATGGCTACAACATCACTAGGCAATAGAAATTTTTCAGTTCCATTATAATCTATGAGGCTACCATCGCATATGCAATCTGCCATTGACCAAAATGTTGTTACATGACACATGGTTATATTTAAAGTGTTGTAAAAATAAACCCTCTGATATGGTTTGGCTGTGTTCCCACCCATATCTCATCTTGTATTGTAATCCCCATGTGTCATGGGAAGGACCTGGTGGGAAGTAATTAAATCATAGGGGGCAGTTACCTCCACGCTGCTGTTCTCAAGATAGTGAGTGAGTTCTCATGAGATCTGAAGGTTTTATAAGGGGCTTTTTCCTCTTTTGTTCGGCACTTCTCCTTGCTGCCTCCATGTGAAGAAGGATGTGTTTGCTTCCCCTTCTGCCATGGTTGTAAGTTTCCTGAGGCCTCCCCAGCCATGCTAAACTGTGAGTCAATTAAACCTCTTTCCTTTATAAATTACCCAGTCTCAGGTATGTCTTTATTAGCAGTGTAAGAACAGACTAATACACCCACCAACCTAGAATTCTGCGGTCTGCAAAACTGTCCTTCAAAAGTAAAGGAGAAATAGACTTTCTAAGACAAACAAACATTGTTGCTAATAAATCTGAAGAAATGTTAAAAGAAGTTCTCCAGAGAAAGGAAAAATGATATTTTAGAAACTCAGGTCTAAGCTAACATCATGATGACAGGATCAAATCCACACATATTAATACTAACCTTGAATGTAAATGGGCTAAATCCCCACTTAAAGGACTCAGAGTGGCAAGCTCAATAAAGAACCAAGACCCAATAGTATGCTGTCATCAAGAAACCCATCTCACATGCAGTGACACCCACTGGCTCAAAATAAAGGGATGGGTAAAAATCTACCAAGCAAATGGAAAACTGAAAAAAGTAGGAGTTGCAATCCTAATTTCAGGCAAAAAAGATTTTAAACCAACAAAACTCAAAAAAGACAAAGAAGGGCATACAAAATGCTAAAGGGTTCAGTTCAACAGGAAGACCTAACTATCCTAAATATATATATATATATATATATATACACACACACACACACACATATCTATACCAAGCACAGGAGCACCCAGATTCATAAAGCAAGTTCTTAGAGCACTTCAAAGAGACTTAACACTCCCACACAATAATAGTGGGAGACTTCAACACCCTGCTGACAGTACTAGACAGATCATTGAGGCAGAAAATTACCAAAGATATTCAGGACCTAAACTCAGCACTGGAGTAAATGGACCTGATAGACATCTACAGAACTCTCCACCCTAAAGCAACAGAATAGACATTCTTGTCATCACCACATGCACATACTCTAAAATCAACCACATAATAAGACATAAAACACTCCTCAGCAAGTGCAAAAGAACTAAAATCATAACAACCACTCTCTTGGACCACAGCACAAGAAAATTGCTCAAGGCCAGGTGGGGTGGCTTACGCCTATAATCTCAACACTTTGGGAAGCTGAGGCGGATGGATCACTTTAGGTCAAAAGTTTAAGACCAGCCTGTCCAACATGGTGAAACCCTGTCTCTACTAAAAATACAAAAATGAGCCAGGTATGGTGGCACATGCCTGTAATCCCAGCTACTCAGGAGGCTGAGGTGGGAAGATTGCTTGAACCCAGGAGGTGGAGGTTGCAGTGAGCCGAGATTGCCTCTCTGCACTCCAGCCTGGGTGATGGACTAAAACTCCATCTCAAAAAAAGAAAAAGAAAGAAAGAAAATTGCTCAAAACCATGCAATTATATGAAAATTGAATAACCTGCTCCTGAATGACCTTTGGGTAAATAAAGAAATTAAGGCAGAAATCAAGAAGTTCTTTGAAACTAATAAAAACAAAGGTACAACATACTAGACTCTCTTGGACACAGCTAAGGCAGTGTTAAGAGGGAAATTTTTAGCAATAAATGTCCACATCAAAAAGTTAGAATGCTTGCAATCAAACAACCTAACACCGCAACTAAAAGAACTAGAGAACCAAGAGCAAATCAACCCCAAAACTAGCAGAAGACAAGATATAACCAAAATCAGAGCTGAACTGAAGGAGACTGAGACACAAAAAACCATCCAAAAGATCAACAAATCCAGGGGTTGGTTTTTTAAAAAAATTAATAAAATAGACCACTAGCTAGACTAATAAAGAAGAAGAGAGAGAAGATCCAAATAAACACAATCAGAAATGACAAAGGGGATATTACCACTAACCCTACAGAAGTACAAATAACCATCAGAGAATATTATGAACACCTCTATGCAAACTAGAAAATACGGAAGAAATGGATACATTCCTGGATATATACACCCTCCCAAGACTGAACCAGAAATAAATTGATTCCCTGAACAGATCAATAACAAGCTCTGAAATTGAATCAGGAATAAATAGGCTACCAACCAAAAAAAGTCCAGGACCAGATGGATTCACAGCTGTATTCTACCAGAAGTATAAAGAAGAGCTAGTACCATTCCTGCTGAACCTATTCCAAAAAATTGAGAAGGGGGGACTCCTCCCTAACTCATTCTATGAGGCCAGTATCATCATAATACCAAAATCTGGCAGAGACACAACAAGAAAAAAAAAACTTTAGGCCAAAATCCTTGATGAACATTGATGCAAAAATCCTCAACAAAATACTAGCAAACTGAATCCAGCAGCACATCAAAAAGCTTATCCACCATGATCAAGGAGGCTTTATCCCTGGGATGCAAGGTTAGATCAACACAGGCAAATCAATAAATGTGATTTATCAAACAAACAGAACTAAAGACAAAAACCACATGATCATCTCAATAGATGCTGAAATGCCTTTTGATAAAATTCAACACCATTTCATGTTAAAAACTCTCAATAAACTAGATATTGAAGGAACATACCTCAAAATAATACAAGCCATCTATGACAAACCCACAGCCAACATCATACTAAATGGGCAAAAGCTGGAAGCACTCCCCTCGAAAACTGGCACAAGACAAGGATGCCCTTTCTCACCACTCCTATTCAAAATAGTATTGGAAGTCCTGGCCACAGCAATCAGGCAAAAGAAAGAAATAAAGGGCATCTAAATAGAAAGAGAGGAAGTCAGACTAACCCTGTTTGTGAACGACAATCAACATACAGAAATATTTACATGTAAAATCCAAAACTATAAAAACCCTGGAAGACAACCTAGGTAATACCATTAAGGACATAGGAATGGGCAAATATTTCGTGATAAAGACACCAAAAGCAATTGCAACAAAAGCAAAAACTGACAAATGTGATCTATTTAATTAAACGAAAGAGCTTCTACACAGCACACACACACACACACAAAAACTATCAACAAAGTAAACAGAATGGGAGAAAATTTTCGCAAACCACGCCTCTGACAAAGATTTGATATCCAGCATCTATAAGGAACTTAAACAAATCTACACACACACACAAACCCAATCCCATTAAAAAGTGGGTAAAGGACATGAACAGACCCTTTTCAAAAGAAGACATACATGTGGCCAAAAAGCATGTGAAAAACAACTCAACATCACTGATGACTGTCAGAGAAATGCAAATCAAAACCACAGTGAGATACCACCTCCCAGCAGTCAGAATGGCTACTATTAAAAGGTCAAAAAATAGCCAGGCACGGTGGCTCACACCTGTAATCCCAGCACTTTGGGAGGCCGAGGTGGGCGGATCACCTGAGTTAGGAGATCAAGACCAGCCTGGTCAACATGGTGAAACCCCATCTCTATTAAACAAATACAAAAATTAGCCGGGCGTGGTGGCATGTGCCTGTAATCCCAGCTACTCAGGAGGCTGAGGCAGGAGAATTGCTTGAACCCAAGAGGTGGAGGTTGCAGTGAGCAAAAATTGAGTCACTGCACTCCAGCCTGGGCTGCACCAAAATTGAGTCACTGCACTCCAGCCAGAACGAGACTCCGTCTCAAAAAACAAAACAAAACAAAAGTAAAAAAATAACAGGTGCTGCCAAGGTTACGGAGAAAAAGGAATGCTTGTACACCGTTGGCGGGAATGTAAATTAGTTCAACCATTGTGGAAAACAGTGTGGTGATTCCTTAAAGACATAAAAACAGAATTACCACTCAACCCAGCAATCCTGTTACTGGGTCTATACCCAAACGAATATAAATCATTCTATCATAATGACACATGCATGTGGATGTTCATTACAGCACTATTCACGGTAGCAAAGGCATGGAGTCAACCTAAATGCCCGTCAGTGGTAGACTCGGTAAAGAAAATGTGGTACATATACACCACGAAATATTATGCAAGCATAAAAAAGAACAAGAACATGTCCTTTGCAGGAATATAGGCAAAAACTATCGTAAGCAAACTAATGCAGGAACAGAAAACCAAATACCACATATTCTCACTTATAAGTGGGAGCTAAATGATGAGAACACATGGACACATAGAGGGGAAAAACAGACACTGGGGCTTACTGGAGGGTGGAAGGTGAGAGGAGGGAGAGAATCAGGAAAATAATGAATGGGTACTAGGCTTAATACCTGGATGACAAAATAATCTGTACAACAAACCTCCATGACACAAGTTTACTTATATAATAAACCCACACATATACCCCTGAACTTAAACATTTTTAAAAAAGAAACTCAGGTCTATATGAAGAAAGGAAGAGCACCAGAGAATGAATAGTGATGGTAAATCTCATTTTTGTTATTATAAGGTTCTTGCACTATCCAAGAAGTGATAATAGTGTAATTTGAAAGTGTACTTGGATTAGCTGTAAACATACATTAAAAACTCTAAGGCAACGCTTAAAAATATTTTTTAAGAAGTATTAATTGATATGCTAAGAAAGAAGAAAAACTGAATCATATAAAATGCTCACTTAAAACCACAAAAGGCAGAAAAAGTGTGGAAGACAAAAACAAGACCAAGGGCATCAAATAGAAAACAGTGAAAAATATGGTAGATATTAATTCAACTATATCAATAATTACTTTGAACAGCAATTATCTAAATATGCCAATTAAAACATAGGGATTATCACAGTGGATCAAAAATAAGGCCAAACTATATATTGTCTACAAAAAAAACTAATTTAAATATAAAGAAACATATAATTTAATAGTAAATGGATGGAGAAAGATACACCATGCTAACATGAATCCAAAAAAGTGGCAGTTGCTATATTAACGTCAGACAAAGCAGATTTCAGAGCAAAGAAAATTATAATGGATTAAGAGGAGCATTACATAATGACAAAGGGGTCAATACTACCAGAGGACATAACAATTTTTAACTTGTATGCATTAATAAGACAGAGCTAAGATATACAAGGTAAAACTGATAGAACTGCAAGAAAAAATAGATGAATTCATTATTATAGTTAAAAATTTCAGCAACCTTCTATCAGAAATGAACAGATCCAGCAGATGTGAAATCAATAAGAATACAATTGAACTCAACAGCATCATCAATCAACTGAATATGATGGACAGCTACAGGCTACATCATCCAAGAACAGTAGAAAATACATTCTTTTCAAGCTCACATGGAACACTCACCAAGATACACATTCTGGGCCATAAAACACACCCTAACAGATTTAAAAGAATAAAAATTATAAAACATATGCTCTGAGACCACAATGGAATTAAACTAGAAATCAATAACAGAAAGATAACTGAAAATCCCAAAATCTTTGGAGATTAAGCAACACACTTCTAAATAATACATGGGTCAAAGAAGAAATCTGAAGATAAATTTTAAAATATTTTGAACTAAGTAAAAAGGAAAATACAACTTAACAAAATTTGAAGGATGCAGCAAAAGCCATGCTCAAAATGGAACTGACAGCATTGAATGCATGGGTTAGAAAATAAGAAAAATATAAAGTCAGTAATGTAAGCTTGTACTGTAGGAAACTAGAAAACAAGCAAATTAAATCCAAAATAAGCAGAAGAAACAAATAAGTATTGATTACACATCAGTGTTATTGTTTTATTTTGTCCCTTCTACCTTTACTCTTTCCAAGTATTATGGGTTTTTAAATTTTTTTTTTTTTTTTTTTTTTTTTTTGAGATGGAGTCTTGCTCTGTCGCCCAGGCTGGAGTGCAGTGGCGCGATCTCGGCTCACTGCAAGCTCTGCCTTCCTGGTTCACGCCATTCTCCTGCCTCAGCCTCCCGAGTAGCTGGGACTACGGGCGCCCACCACCACACCCGGCTAATTTTTTGTATTTTTTAGTAGAGACGGGGTTTCACCGTGTTAGCCGAGATGGTCTCAATCTCCTGACCTTGTGATCTGCCTGCCTCGGCCTCCCAAAGTGCTGGGATTACAGGCGTGAGCCACCGCGCCCGGCCAGGTTTTTTAATTTTTAAAGAATAATTTTAGACTGACAAAAGATTTCAAAATTTTACCAAACTTTTCATTTTTCTTGTTAGTTGATATATCAGTCTGGGTGCACTCAAGAGACAGAAACCACACAGTAATTTAAACAGGAAAGTTCAACATAAACAATGATAAAACTATGATAGGACAATAACTACAAAGAGAAATCTAAAGGGTACCTTGGGCTTGAGGGAGAACAACCAAGGAAGGCACACTCAGAAGAGGGACCCCCCTCCCCAAGGCCAGGGTTCATACTTTGTGTGAAAAGTTTGCTGGTTGCCCAGGCCAGGGCTGGTCCACAATTGTGAGGCAGCAGGAAAACACTGGTTGGGATAGGCAACTACCATGGCACTGAGTATCCCTGCAGGCTGTTGCTATGTAAGCCAGGAATGCAAGGCCCTGACAGCGATTTACCCAGGTCACTTCTCAGAGTTGTTTTTGCAGTGAGAAATATCCAGAAATAAGGACAAAGAGAAGTCTCATCACCACTCTCTATGAAATCCACAAGTCCCTAAGCTCAGTGTTGCCAACTGTAGCACAGTGTTGCTGACTGTAGCCGACTGTAGCACAACTCGTGGCATGTGCAGGCCTTCATCTAGGCTCATCTGCATCATAGTGGAGGGACAAAGGGACAAAATGGGGGCAACAGGAAACCAACATGAACATGAAACGCTGGCTACTAATTTTGCCATGAGTAATCTCTGACCCACAAACCTCATGTCTTCTGCCAGCATCTATAATGTTCTACATTGTTGGCTTGTGAGCAGAACAAAATCTCAAAGCATTTACAGTTCTTCAAACAATCCTGTAGAGCACAGGTGAGCCAAGGCTGGGGGTTAGGTGCACTAAAGGTGTCAGGGTCCAGTTGTGGACGTGAGCCTGGACAGTGCAGCAGGAAACAACACCCCAGGGCACAGGAAAGCTGAGGCCAGTGGGTGGACATGCAGAAGGAGCTGGGTAGCTGAAGTTCTGGAGTGTGCAGTGGTCGGCCACTGGCCCAGGCCAGGCTGCAAGGTCACCCAGGGCTGCCCTCTCTGTACATGTGGCTGGAACAGAGCACCACCAGATATACACACGCACAAGCACCACAGATGGGCTGTGAAGCAGGAGCAAGACAAAGCACACATGTCCCACTAGAAGCAGGAATATAAGCCCCTTCAGGGAGGTCCATCACATGCCTCTTTCAGAGCCTTCCTCGTCACCAATTTTCCAATCCTATTCCTTTGAAGTTGCCAACCAACCAAACCTTTAGCAACTGCTGATGAATTAATACTGATCCATACTTTCAGCCACTTCTCACTCCAAACATAGTAAGCAACTAAGTGTACTGCTCAAAGTTCTGCCCTCTGAGAAGATTTCCCTTCACCACTGTCCTTCAAGATAATCCTTGACTGTGGTTGCAGTGCCGCGACTGTCCAATCCAGGGAAGTACCAACATATCAAGCCCATCTGTAAACCAGTGGTGAACTTTTTTCTTCCATGGTCAACTAGCTATAAGGTACATCCCAGGAGCCCATAGACATGGATTGAGAGAGGGGAGGCAATGTAACAGGAGTTGGTGTCAAAGGAATCTGAGTCACTCATGCACTTTTTGCACCTTCACATTTGCCTAAGATCAGCTTCATACATCATTTCCATGTGACGGTACCCTGCTGTTACATGCACACCCAACTTTATGGCCAGGTAGACCAGATAGCACTTAGGCTGCATGGTCTCCTGATGTCCCATGGTTATGGCCCAAAAGCAAGCCAGATGCTGATTCTCAAAATGAGATCAGTTAGCTGCAGAAGAGAACGTAGACTTACTCCAAAATCCCAGAGCTCTGTGCTGTAATTCTCCTATGGGTGCTTGTCAGAGGGTCCACACTGCATTTCAATGTGCCACAGACACTTCAAATATCACTGGATCTACCGAATCCTATGAGCAAAGTGGTAAAGCAGCTTACATTACAGCCTAAACTTTCTCTGACCCCCATTTGAAACTTCCAGCCTCATAGGCTGAAAGTAGCACATGCAAATATAATAAACGTTGTATCTAAAATCCTCAAAGCCCAACTGAATATTGTGTTTCTTTTTCACAGGAGGTGGCGCAAAATACATCAACTTGTTTTTCACTTGGAGGGGATATTTCAACGTATTCCACACCTCTGAACCTGCTAGAAACTTCACTGAGGTGGAGGGCCCCTAAGTTTTGTGGAGATCATCTCCCACCTTTGCTACTTCCTCTTTTTCAGATTCAATAAGCATAATATTGTCAATATTAGTGGACCAGTGTAATGTTGCGTGAACTGACAAGATGACTAGATCTCTGCAGACAATATCATTGCTTAGAGCAGAAGAACTGGCATGTCCTTCAGGCAACACTGTGAGTGTATACTGTTCACCCTGTCAGGTAAAAGTAAACTGCTTCTGGTGGTCCTTGCAAACTGGTTTGAGAAAAAAGCATGAGTAAGATCAGTACCTGCATGCAAAGTGCCAGAGAATATGTTGATTTTCTCCAGCAGAGATTTCTCATCTGGTACAGCAGCTGTAATTGAAGTCACCAGCTGATTACATTTGCAATAGTCCACATTCTTCATAATCCATATCGTTAGGGAAGCAGGCGCCTAGGAGAGTCAGAGTAATGCCACTTTAAGTTCAGCTGCATTTTGAGATTAACAAGGCACATTTCTTGCAGTCAAAACCTATAGACCTAAGATGTTTATAGCTGAGGAAACAGCTGAACGATACTTGCAAGGACACACTGCTACAACAACAGAGAGTGCAGACATCCCAATACCCAAACACTATACGCTTTCAAGATAACAAGAGCTATGCTTTAACGTACGCACACACTAAAATCTTAAGGATAGTTTTCTTTGAATCAATAGAATAATAAATTTTGCCACGCTGTCTGCTCGCCTGCATATAGTCACAGCTTAGTTTAATCTTTACATAGACAAAACAGCTATATATGCACTTAAAGACAGTGCATTCCTCTACTTGCTTTCTGAGGATGCCCTACTCTGTAATGGAATGTAAGAGCTTTCAATAAACTATCTCTTCTCACTTCACTCTGCAACTCACCTTGAATTCCTTCCTGCGTGAGATCCAAGAATCCCCTCTTTACATCTGGATCGAGACCCCTTTTTCTGGTAACAATATGAGTTCTGCACAGGCCAAAGTGGCCAGTTAAATGGGTTTGTAAGAAGTGTCACAGTGCCTGCTTATTTCAACCCTTTAATGGTGGCATTAATCTCCAAAGCTCTTTCAGAGATTCAGTATTTCTGGATAAGAAGGGGAAGTTCTGGGACTTTCACTAAACTTCTCCTACCATCATGGTCCTCATCTCATACGTAAGAGAGCCAGTGAGGGGATTTAGCTAGTGTATGTTTGTTTCAATTATACAACCAGGAACTGAAAAACTAACTATAGGGAGAATAGTGTACCAACTGGGCCCCCTGTGAGTCGGTCTCATGTTAGAACCTCTATCAAGTGAAGAACTGACCATCACAAGTTTCTGCTTTGACTGGTGAGCCACAGTGCCATTTTTGGTTCCCAGGAATTTATGTCAATTGAGGCAATCCCTGAGACATCTAGGTTACTTCCTTTTCATTAGTTGATGGCTGCAGGACACTTCAGAAAAGGTGTGGAAGAGGGTTTATGGTATTCTTTCTCACTAGCACAGATTCTTTCTCAAGGGGCCTTGGCTTCTCCCTTCAATCAAGATGCTCTAGGTCTGACCCAACTTAGGTCTGGAAACTCGGAGAGAGCCCATGATCTCCACTGTGGTGATTCAAGTTAGGTACTTCGGTGACCAGACCTAGAGGTTTTCCTGTTGTGTGGATTAAAGACTACTCTAGCGACTGTCCATCTCTTCATTCTAAGGAACACTGTGAGCAATTCACCACTGCCAAAAATCTCTGTGGACCAAGGCATTCTGATTATCGGTGTGTTCCTTCTGCTGTTTATGGCTGACATGCCCACCTTGTCTTAGCCTGCTACTCTGAAATATTATCGTCCCGCTGAAATCAGAGGTCTAGTCTAGCAATCCACATGGTCATATGTAGGCTACAGACCATGGAACTTTTCAGGTGTTCCACTCACTCAATAATGCATTTCTCATTACTTAGCGAAGGGTCTTCCTGTGGAATGTAGCTGCAGGGGGTGGGTGAATGTGGGAGTCACACATGATTGGATCTGGTGGCTGTCCAGTCTAATGGGATAAGATTAAAACTGAGGGGTCAGGACAGGTAAGCCAGGGTGATCAGGAAGTGTGAAGGTCAGGGAAAAACACCCAGAACAACCCTGCAAAGTAGGGACTACGGTCACCCCTTTCACAGAAAGGCTTAGGAATTTATCCAAAGTCAAACCACTGTTAAATGGTGGAGCCAAGATTCAGACCCAGCAATTGTAGGAATCTGTGGGAAGCTGGTGAGGTTGTATCCACGAGCTCCTGGGGAGCCTGGGCAAAGAATACCATCCTGGGGCCCCAGAGCGCTTGAAAGCCCTTTTCCTCCCTGTGGCAGATCCTCTCTCTCAGCCTGCTTCCAAGACCTGGGAACAGGGTGGACCCACGGCCCCACACTTGCCATCCCAGGAAGCTGCAGTGTGCAGAGGGCAGGCCCGGCTGGGCCCTCCTGCTGAACGCAGTGCCCTAAGCACAGGTGTACGGTCATTGCATGAGTGGATTTCAAACTATTTTTAACCCCTGCAGGAGCAGGCTAGAGCGTTTTCTATGGACACTGAAGGGTTAATCCAGAGCTCAGGCTGCCACTCTGGGGAAGTGGTCAGCACTTACAGGAATGGTCCCTCCAACATCTGAGCGAGGAAGGGGCACAGAGCACAGTTGTGCCTTCCTTGGGCCTGGGCAAGCTCTGTGCTTCACAGAGCAAGCCTGTGTCAGATCCTTCAGCAGAGACCACAGCCAGGGGTGGTGAAGCCGATGAGGAAGTGAGGGCCAACCACACTGCTCAGGCTGTTCCTCACAGGAGGCTGGGGCAGGCTGAGCCACGCAAGACCACAGCTCTCAGCCCTGTGCTATTTCCAGGGCACACTTACAGATCCTGAATGGTAGAGAACGTCCTGGATAAAACAATGACAGCAAGACAGCCATGTACACAGATATCTTGTGGGAAACCCTTTCACGGCCACTTTGAAACTGGGTTGGGAGAAGGACGTGATGCTGGGTCAGGCATCCATTGGGGACCATGGACATTTTTGGAGAGTTTGGGCCAATGTTCTTGTGTAATTTGTCAGAAGGAACACCTACTTCTTCATTCTTGTGAAGAAGAACCCATAAACTGGCCCCCGTGTTCAGAGGCTCCAGTCGAGCGAGTTGAGGGGACAGCTGGACTTCTCCTTCCTCAGGCTGGCTGGAGGCTTCAGCAAGGGGGCACACCGTCCACACGCCTCTGTAAAACAGCGTTCGAACGGGACATCTCTAAGGCATCGTCCAACTCTGAGAGTCTGTGACCTTCCACCCTGGGGTGGAGGGAAAGGCCTTGGGATACAGTCCACACATCACGTTTTCCCCTAAAAGTACCACCCGTTTTAGTCCCTGCAGACACTGGCCTCAGCAGCTTCTCTGAGGCAGCCCCGTTGAGCCCAGGGCTGACCACAGACAAGCACTACTGTCCACAGAACTTCACGCCCAGTGGGGCCAGACTTGGAGGATGGCAGAGGAGAGAAGCTCCAGGGGCCTCTCCATTAGAAACCAACTTGCAGGCCACTTAATCTCCTATGCTCAGCCTGTACTTGGAAGCTGCTTGTTCTTGGCTGCACATTTGCTTTGTTTGAATCAATTAATCCAAGTCTCTCTCCTCTCCCCACCCCCAACCTTGCCTTTAGGGTGACATCAATATTCATGTAATAAAGAAATCGCACAAAAAGCTGACTCCCCACTTCCTGCCCTACAGGCCCTTTTTTCTTCCTCAGCCCATGTGCAATCCTGGCTCCCAGCAAGTCCCCGGGGCTGCTTGGTCAATGCAGCCCTGTGTGCAGGCCTGGCAGCCCTGCCACCCCCGCCTTCGGCTCCCATTGGCTGCCACGGCCTGCAGTGGGCTGCACCAGGGTTCATCCATCCTCCCTGGGCAGAGGGAATAAGAGGCTGCCTCTGCCCACCAGTCCTGCCGCCCAGGACCCGCAGCAGAGACGACGCCTGCAGCAAGGAGACCAGGAAGGGGTGAGACAAGGAAGAGGTGAGAAAGAGCCAGGCCAAGAGGACGCTCAGGAAGAAATGGTTCTTTTCTTTTGGGTGGAACGGAATGGAGGGGTAGAAACTAAGTGGTAGCTTAAAAAGCCCCTTTAGGACAATTGGCAGCATTTCAGAAGTGTCAATAGGATGATGTGTTTTAATCTCCACATTACTGCTGCTTTGTGGACACCTGACTGCATCAGCCCTAGACAGCTAGAGGTGTGTTTTGCCATAAATCAGAGAAACGTCAGGTTTCATGGCCCAGAAGTGATTGTTGACATTTTCCCAGCGGTACTACAAATACTGCCTCTTCTGTAACTATTTGAAGAGTAAAGATTTTGCTTCCCACTGGGGCTAAAAATGATGGAGAACCTAATGCTAGTTTAGTCCTATATCATAAATAAATGCTTCCCTTTTCTCCTTATATTTCTTCCACCGCCCTGGGTAAGTAACTCTTCAGTTTTCCAGTTTCCCTCAGTTTGAAGTGCCAGGGTCCCCACAGCCCCAGGACGCCACTCAGAAATTACGTAACAATTACAAATAAATTGGGTCAAAGAAATCGGGGTTTTGGTGGGTTTTAACTTTCCTCAGTCTCACAGTTTCTCAGGGAGGTCGAACCCCTTCTTTAGAGGGATCCTCACACGCTAGGTAACTTGTCTTTCTAAGGAGTTAAAGTTCAAAAGTTCTCTTGTTCTCAATATTAAAAGATTAATGTAGGACATTCAAAGAATGTGAGAAAGAAACGGACATTTATTTCCATTTCTCTTAAAAGATAAACTATAAACCATCAACTATTTCTTAGGTCAAAGGGAAAAATTTAACAAGAATTTAATTGATTTGTAGTGTGGTTATGAAGAAAACCATATTTTCTAGTGGTTTCTATTAGTGTTCTAATATATGGGATACATGTTTTATGCCTTTCCTTTGTAATAATCCCATTAGTCACAATTCATAGAAAAACAATTTAACCTCCTTTTCCCCAAATCATCATGGACTTTGAGGAGCATCAGAATGATGTAAAAGTGTCTTGTTTTGTTTAAAAAAATACACACACATACAAACATGCATATATCAATAATTGAAAACTTGAGTGCAAAGAATAAGAAAGCATGAAATGTTAAAGATTTTAATCCATCTTAATTGTTCTATTTGTGAATTATCAAATTTTTAGGGACTCAAGAGCAAAATAAAGTACACTGATTATTAATAGAATGACTTTAGCAAAGATCTGGCCAGTATAAAAAAATCTTCAATCCTGTTTCCTTCGGAGGATCAGAAATAAATAAAATAATTCCAAATTATTTTTAAGATGTAAGTTATATATTCAACATGGGAATGATTTTTCAACACTATTTGATTTATTAATTTGTTTTTAATTATGACAGCGCAAACGTTCTTATTTAATGATTAGAACTCAAGGCCAAAAGCTGGTAAATTTCTCTGACTGCGCATCTGTTTTGTGAAACAACTGACAAGGCAACCTTTGTAAAATGCGCCTCATTCCCAGACTGACCAGATATTTCCTTGGTTCGTAGGCTGTGGCGTAAGGTACTTGCTGTGAGGGAGGTAGGGGGGCTCTTACTTTGACAGCTGCAGAGAAACACCTATTCCTGCCCCCACCCCCTCCCGCCGTCCCAGTCACTGCAGTGAATGAGCCACCCTTTCGGTACACTGGAGGTGGAATGCAGGCTCAGCAGCTCAGCTTTCTGCTGGATTCTGTCCCTCCCTGCGACAGAACCACACCCATTTGATCAGTTAAACTTAGGATACATTTTTTTTTCCTGGTAGATCAAATAACTTTCACTGTTATTCTTCAAAAAGATTGCGGCAATTCTACCATATTTATTTTTCCTGATGAATTTTACAGCTGTTTTTGTCATGTCACCCATCCAAAAAAATTCCATTGTTTTTATTAAAAATGATTTAAATTTACATATGAATTTAAAGGAAAAACTTCCTACATTTTATGTTCCTCAGAATCTCTTGGAAGGACCTACGTTTTTCTTCCTAAACTTAGTCTTAGATCACATGTTATTGCTATATGCATAGGATATTTTGCACTGTATTTTCTACTTCTTTACTGATAGAATATAGGAATGCTATTGATTTTTTGTCTTCTTATTTTGCTCCTAGTCACTGTCTCACTTTCAGATTGATTTTAACAGCTTGCAGTTGATGGTTTGCTCACCTGCACTCTACCACCTCATCTTGGAGCCTTGCAGGAACAGAGAGGGACCCTGTGGGGATTAATTCAGGGGAAATTAATCCCTGAATTCCCTTGCTGCTCTGCCTCTGTATTTTTGCCAGTTTCCCTGTTGGCCCAACCCAGCCAGAATTCAGAGGGCATGGGAATATATCCCCGTGGCCCACACGGACAGAGAAGGCAGGCCCACAGCTGTCTAAGAGGCCGGTGGAAGGATTATGATAAAAGTGCAAATTCCCAGAATGCCCCTCCAGGCCATGCCTGCTGCTCTGAGCTTGAAAAGAGTGCCAAGGCCATTCCATCCCCCTTGTCTGGGTTGAGGTCTGTATTGATAACATATGAAATGTTTTAGGATGAGGTATAGATGAGAAGGCAACTTTCCTTTGCGAGCCCCTAGGATGTCTGAGCTGGAGAAGGCCATGGTGGCCCTCATCGACGTTTTCCACCAATATTCTGGAAGGGAGGGAGACAAGCACAAGCTGAAGAAATCCGAACTGAAGGAGCTCATCAACAATGAGCTTTCCCATTTCTTAGAGGTGAGTCTTGCTTTTTAAACTTGACACTTTCTCCATCTCCTCTTAAAATCCATCTGTACACTGGCTTTATCTTCTCAGCTGCCCTGAAGGTGATTTCATTTCCCTTCCAAGACTCCTGGGCTGCTTCTGCAAACTTGTTTGAGTAACGGAACCCTCAGTGTGGGGCTGGCTCAAATGAGCCCCTTGTTTTCATTTCCTTATCAACCATCTTGTGTACAGTAGGTGCATCAAGGTCCCAAAGGCCAAAGCGTCCCAAATAATGCTAGACTCATTACTTACCATGGACCAAAGGGAACATAAAAGGAAACTGTTAAAAATAAGCTTTGGGAATGTTTTTAGGAAAAGGATATATTTTGGCTTTAGCTAGAAGTTTAGTATTTGCTATGGAGATAAGATATGCCAGACTTTCACTCAGTAAACACTGACTGAGCACTAATTAAGAACTGTGAGATATGCAGGCACGACAGACATGGCTTCTGCTCTGGGGCACCCAGCCTGGCACATGGATGAATGACCATGACTGGCTTAACTGAGGACGTGACAGGGGTCTGTACACATCCTTTGGAAGCCCTGGGGCTTTGCAGGAGGCTCTGTGGAGTAACGGATATTGGTGAGGAACTGTCTTTAGTTGGGGCCCCTACTTTAGGAAGCTGTGTGGGGGCTCCTGGCAAGCCCTGTTCTTCAGGCAGTTCCCGCTGTGGCTTGTGGTGGAAGTATGTCCAGACCCTTGCATTAGGGCTCATTTTCCTACCCACCGTCTCCACTGTCCTTGGATCAGACCCACCTGTCTTTACTGCCCACCTCATGCCCTCATGGAAGTGAACTGTGATCCCCCTGGTACCTGATGCTCTCTTAGAACCAAGGCTGGCTTGAGGCACGCCTTGAGCCAGAGTGAAGCACCAGTGGTGTGCACATATGAAACGTAGTGAAGGGCTTCCTGGGTCACTGATATGAGCAATCACAAACGGGATAAATGACCAGACAATGAGCCAGCGCACTAGTGTCTCACCAAGCCCTATTCCAGGATAAATACCAGGGCAGGGCTCTGCTGCATGGGGACGGGGAGCTGCCCTCCTGAGCTGGCCAAGCCTCTCAGTGCAAGACGGCAAGCCCTGGCTCCAGCAGCACGGCAGTCCGTGTTTTCAGGGCAGGGGGAGGGGGCGCTGGCTGGTTCTCCTGTCCCCACTCCCACCAAACACTGCCCCACCGTGAATGGTTCAGAGTGGAGCAGACAGGCCTGAAACTTTGCAGAGGGTGTCCCCACATCTGATTCCAGGACTGGTTTTCTCAGGCATTCAAGCCGACAGAGTGACAGCAGTCCCACTCACACATGCAGTTTTCTAGTTCCACCAATCTTGCCTTCTGACTTGATCTGAGAGTCCCAGGTTCTTCTTCTGAACAAGGGCTGTTGTGAGGGTGAAGCGGGACAGTGCTTAAGTGCTTAACATATAGTGAAAGCTCAACTAATAGTAGCTACTATTATTATTTTTATACATAGAAAAAGCTTTGCACTTGGGAATTTCAATTTGTAAATGATAAATAATTCATGGTAAGCATTTCAAGGCATCACAAACATTTGCTGCCCTGTTTTATCAAGGTAATTTCAGTTCGGAAGCAGATGTATAATATAATTGAAGTTAGTGCCCTGCTCCTGCCCATCCACAGGTGCCTCCCCACCTCTACCCCCGTGGAGTTACAATCTTCTGTATGTTTTGTTTACTTTTTTAGTTTTTGAGATAAGGTCTTGCTCAGTCACCCAGGTTGGAGTGCAGTGGTGCAATCTTGGCTCATTGCAGCCTCAACCTCCCAGGCTCAAGCGATCCTCCGCCTCAGCCTCCTGAGTAGCTGGGAATACGGGCACATGGACCATGCCCAGCTAATTGTTTTATTTTTTCTTTGTAGAGATGGAGTCTCCCTATGTTGCCCAGGCTGGTCTCAAACTTCCTGTGCTCAAGTTATCCTCCTGCCTTAGCTTCCCAAAGTGCTGGGATTACAGGTGTGAGCCACCGTGCCTGACCCCTGTGTGTCTTATAGCCAAGGCAGCTGTTGTACATTACACTTGACTTCTTCAGGCCAAGCCTTCCTATCCCGGAGAATTGTTACTCTGCATTTATGCTCTTCATCAGTGTTCAATACCCAAATTTTTCCCACCACGTTTGTAGCCCTGCACTGTGGTTGTTCCTCTGAGGCTGTGCACATCACTTAACAGCCACACCATTCATTTGGCTTCAATGTCAGGCAGAACTGTCAGGAAAAAGTTTCATGACACCTAGAAAGCAATTCAAGTGGGAAAAAGAATACAGGGTTAACAAATGTAGGCCACGTTCCCAAGAGTTACTTCAGCAACAAAGAAGACTTTCAAAACATTAAATTCCACTGGAAGCCTTTGAGACAGGGACTTCCACACACAGAACACACGAAAAGTTTAGGAGGGCCAAAAGTTTATTTTTATTTCAAGACATTTGCTCAGGCTGATCTAGATGGTATTTTTTTTTTTCAGGTATTTTAAGTATGATAACAACCTTCAGTTTTTCACCTCTTGGCTGTTCCATTCAGCCTTTTCCAGTAGCTCAGGGCCAGACACTGACCCCCAGAGATTTCTGCTTGGACAACAGCCCCCTGGTCACATGAGACATCTTTTCTGATATTTTGCATTTGATGTTCTTAGGTTATTTCGGACACAAATTATCAGAGTCACTCAACTTTTAATCATGTTTTGATGGTCCAAAATTCCATTTAAAAACAAGGTCGGCAACTCCTTTTATCTCTCTTAGGAAATCAAAGAGCAGGAGGTTGTGGACAAAGTCATGGAAACACTGGACAATGATGGAGACGGCGAATGTGACTTCCAGGAATTCATGGCCTTTGTTGCCATGGTTACTACTGCCTGCCACGAGTTCTTTGAACATGAGTGAGATTAGAAAGCAGCCAAACCTTTCCTGTAACAGAGACGGTCATGCAAGAAAGCAGACAGCAAGGGCTTGCAGCCTAGTAGGAGCTGAGCTTTCCAGCCGTGTTGTAGCTAATTAGGAAGCTTGATTTGCTTTGTGATTGAAAAATTGAAAACCTCTTTCCAAAGGCTGTTTTAACGGCCTGCATCATTCTTTCTGCTATATTAGGCCTGTGTGTAAGCTGACTGGC
This sequence comes from Homo sapiens, assembly GCF_000001405.40. Taxonomy (NCBI): domain Eukaryota; kingdom Metazoa; phylum Chordata; class Mammalia; order Primates; family Hominidae; genus Homo; species Homo sapiens. Next base: position 46,599,136 of record NC_000021.9, on the reverse strand, counting down.
CCCAGGGACTCTTGTTAACAGTAACTTAGGAGTCAGGTCTCAGTGATAAAGCGTGCACCGTGCAGCCCGCCATGGCCGTGTAGACCCTAACCCGGAGGGAACCCTGACTACAGAAATTACCCCGGGGCACCCTTAAAACTTCCACTACCTTTAAAAAACAAAGCCTTATCCAGCATTATTTGAAAACACTGCTGTTCTTTAAATGCGTTCCTCATCCATGCAGATAACAGCTGGTTGGCCGGTGTGGCCCTGCAAGGGCGTGGTGGCTTCGGCCTGCTTCCCGGGATGCGCCTGATCACCAGGTGAACGCTCAGCGCTGGCAGCGCTCCTGGAAAAAGCAACTCCATCAGAACTCGCAATCCGAGCCAGCTCTGGGGGCTCCAGCGTGGCCTCCGTGACCCATGCGATTCAAGTCGCGGCTGCAGGATCCTTGCCTCCAACGTGCCTCCAGCACATGCGGCTTCCGAGGGCACTACCGGGGGCTCTGAGCCACCGCGAGGGCCTGCGTTCAATAAAAAGAGCGCAGCTTGGGAGGCCGAGGCAGGTGGATCACAAGGTCAGGAGTTGGAGACCAGCCTGACCAACATGGTGAAACCCCGTCTCTACCAAAAATACAAAAAGTAGCCTGGCGTGGTGGCGCGTGCCTATATTCCCAGCTACTTGGGAGGCTGAGGCAGGAGAATCGCTTGAACCCGGGAGGTGGAGGTTGCAGTGAGCCGAAATCGCGCCACTGCACTCCAGCCTGGGCGACAGAGCAAGACTCCTTCTCAAAAAAAAAAAAAGCGCAGCAACAGCGATCCAGCGCCATCAAAAGGCAACGCAAGCAAAAAACGCGGCTTCCCTTCTGCCCCCGCTAGGGGGAGGCTTCCCCGGGGGCGTCCAGCCACTCCACAGGGGACTTCCGGCCTGTTGGGTCACATGTTCTTCCCTAAGCCAATCACCAGGAAGGGGAGCTGCCAATGGTCCCGGGCAGTCACGTGCCTTTCCACAATGCATGCTGGGCCACCAGCCCCATTCCCGGTGTTCACTGCGCTCCCCGTGGTCCTTGGCCTCCATCTCAGAAAGCTCACGTTCCTCAGGGTCCCTCTGTGCCTTCTGAACAGTAGCGGGTAAAACAGGAAGTCCTGCCTGTCCCAGGCAGTGTGGGAGGCCCGGAGGCTCGCAGGGCCCGAGGCTGGGTGGGGCAGAGGTAGGAACCACAGCTGTGATGGCCGAGAGATGGGTTGGTGAGAGGGGCCTGGGAGAGGCCGGAGGGGACCCAGCGAGGCCACTTCACATCTAGCCACCTGGGGAGTCCCCAGGGCCCTGTGCTCACTTCTCGCTCAGCTCTCGCCTTCTGGAAATTCGTGGTTACTTTTGGCCAAAGGGCGATGTTTTCATTTCGCACCGGGCCCTGCAAAGCTGGTCCTGGTGCATGCTCTGGGCTGGCGGGCAGGAGACCAAGCTTGGGAGGCCCAGGGTGCGACCTTAAGTTGGGGGGCGGGAGGGGCGCTGCTGCCGGGGGGCAGCTCTGGGCTGCCCTTGGCTCGGGTGCCCGCCTCCCACCTGCATTCCTCCCCAGAGGATGCTCTGCCGCCTCGGCCGGAAGTTGAATCGGCCCTTCCAGAGCCTCTTTTGCCCACACTGATCCAAGAATCCTAAAGTGACTAAGTCCCCAGAAGCCTACTCTGCTTCCAAACCAGATAGGGAGAACATTGGTCCTCCAAGGAGCTTGGCTCCAGCACCATCCCTCAGGGATTCCCAGGGCAGCTTCTGAGCACACGGGGGCTCCTCCACCATCCAAAGGGGGTCTGGGGGGACTTATCCAATCAACTGCCGTTAGTTCCAGGCTGTAAATGCCAACCGTCCTCTCCTGGCAATCCCTAGCTGAGTGTGGCCCGCCCTCACCCAGAGGCACCTTCCAGTTCCATGAGTGGGTGGTGGTAGTCGCCACAGCTTGGTGGCCAGCACAGGCCTGGCCTACCCCAAAGGCTGCCTCCAGCATCCCCAGGTGGACAGGGGATGGGCCCGGGCAAGGGGGTGGGGGAAACCCGCCCCCAGCTTTGACCAGGAACACATGGAGTTCGCTCAGGCCTGGAGAGCAGGACCAGGTGTGAAAAGTCTGTTTTCATGAACCTGTTGCCCAGGCTGCCATTTCCATGGCCAGTTCAGCCACAGAAATTTTCTGTGCTCCATCAATTTCTCCGTTTGATCCACAAGATTCTGGGCCACAGCCACTTCGCAAATCTGGCCCTGCCAGCAGTGTTGGTCTCTCAGGGTGGAGACCCTGGGGCCAAGCTGAGGACCCCATTTGTTGACTTGCAGTGAGAAGGTGCTGTTGAGAAGTTGGGCTGCAGGAACCCACCATCTCTGGACGCTGCGGACCATCCTCTACAGGGGCTGCTGTCCCTGCCAGAAGTACAAGCAACACAATTGCCAGACTTTCCTGCCACCAAAAGGAGGAATCATCATCTAATAATTGGATTGCGGGGGGTAAGGCCTTGGGCCCCCAGGCAGTATCTGGACATACCCCACCTGTACCCACCAGCAGGGACAGAGACAGCAGGAAGGCTATTGGGCTCTCAAGCCCTGGACTATGTGCCCTCCTGACCCCATGCCCCTGCCTGGGGAAAGGGAGCAGTGAGGACGGAAGTGGAGAGTTGGTGATCCTGGGCTCCCCTGGCCCTCTGTCAAGCTCTGGCTCTCTCTTGTCTACTGTTCCAGATCCCCACCTCTGCAGGGCCCCAGGCCTGTTCAGCCAGACCCTGCTCCTCTTGCAACCAACAAGGGAATCAAATTTCCCCCAGGCTGGCTGGGGCCCTACTTGGGTATCTCCACTATGGGCAGTTTGTCTCCACAGCATGACACCCTGTGAGCCCATGGGCCCATTACTGTTCCCTGCAGCTCTGCCCTGTGAGGCCCCATCCTGGTCTCCAAGGCAAAATGGGGGCCCTTGAACCCACATGCCCCCAGCCAAGACCCTGGAGAGAGTTTGGAAACTTCGTAGGAAGTTGTGGGAGACACCTTGGTTTGTTTGCTTTTGTTTTGGGGTTCTTAAATTTAGGGATTCCACCCTTATCTTGTGCAGACACAAATCAGATTTTTGTAATTGCAGATAGATGGAAGTGTTTGGGCATCAGAGGAAGGTTCCACTGGCCCTTCATCCAGTGGGACCTTCTACACACAGCTATTACGTTCTGCTCGCAATGGAGACACCCAAGTAGGTTCCACTAGCCCTGTCCCACAAGAGCCCAGCTATTGCCTGGCAGTATTTCTTTACCAAGAACTGGGCTGCCTTGGGGACCAGGTGGGTGAGCACAAGGGATGCCTGGCCTCTCTGTCCTGAGACCCCCCTTAATTATGACCCTTACAGCCATGTCCACCAGCAACCTGGCAGGCAAGACAATGGCACAACCTCCTTTCACTGCATTTAGGGAGAAAAGGGCTGGCCTCTCTCTGAAGGAGTGCAGAAAATACACATTATTCAAGCAAGTTAGCATGAGGCAAGCCTAGAGCTTTTACACAGGGCTGGATGTTGAGCAGAGAGCTGAGGATGAGGTTGGCATTCTTCTCAGGAAAATAGCCCAAAGCCCCCAGGATCTAAACCTTGCAGGAAGGAGGCCAGACTTGGCTGGGCTAGAAGGAGCTTTTCTTATGTCTTCTTACCCCAGCACCCCTAATTTAAAATACAGATCCCTGAGGTGCGTCTCAGGTGTTCAGGAGGCCACTCCTGAACTTTTCCTCTTCTGTGAGGGGGTGGGGGACACTGCAGAGGGCATATTGGGTCCCATGGCCCCCTACAGCTCACTGCACAAAACTCTGCTGGGATCTTGCTACATATCCCAAGTACCAGGCCCCCCAGGTCTGAAGTGGGACCATGACTCCCTGGGGTTTTTAGCTGTGAGACTGATCAAACAAGAATTCAGGTGATTTTTTTCCTCAGGGAAGTTAATAACACCAGATCAGCAAGACAGCACTGTCTGCCTAGATTATACCTCTAGAGGAATTGTGACCATCCTCTGGGTGTACCAGCCCCCTCACTCAAGAGTTGACTGTGCAAGGCAGAGAGTGGAAAAGGCCTCAGCTTCTCTAATACCCAAGGATTCCTGAGCAGGGACATCACTGCCTTTGCCCAGGCTTACAGTAGCCAGGCCCCTCTGGACTGCAGTCTCCTCATTCAAGAAAGTAGGAGTGTTGGGTGGTGTGCAGATAGTGCACTAAAGTGCACCCCACCCTTTCCTACTGGTCTTCACATCTTGTGAAATCCCCAGCCCCTGGGTGTTCCTGATCTCAGTTGTGAGGAAGGATCCATTAAGTATCCATTGAGTATGTTAACTGTGGGTTTTTGTAGTTGCCCTTTATCAGGTAAATTTCCCTTATATTCTTAGGGTTTTGGATTTTTTTCAAAAGCTTTTTCTGTGTTTACCGAGGTTGATGCAGGATTTTTGTTGTTGTTGCTGCTTTGCCAGCTGGAAGCTTCTTTAGCCAGCAGGACCTCTGTTCAGTTATTCCCATCACCCCACTCTGGCCCATGGCTCCCAGGCTGGCCTGGCCCCACCAACACTCCCATTGCATGGGCCAGCTGGCATCAGGGGAGTAAAGGAGGGCTACAGTGTTACAGCTCCTTTTTGCACCTGCTGTTCAGCGGGTCCCAGGTTCTTGTCCCGCGTCCAAGAAGAATGAGGTTATGCAGACAACCAAAGAGTGAGCAGGGCGGAGAATTTTATCGAGTGACAAAACAGCTCTCAGCAGAGAGGGGGACACGAGTTGGGTGCACTACCCTTACCCAAAATCAGGTAGTCCTCCCTGTGCCTGAAGGTGGGCAGTCCCTGCAAGTGTGGCTGAGTCCGGGGCCTTTTTTTTTTTTTGGATGGAGTCTCGCTCTGTCGCCCAGGCTGGAGTGCAGTGGTGCGATCTCAGCTCACTGCAAGCTCCGCCTCGCGGGTTCATGTTATTCTCCTGCCTCAGCCTCCCCAGCAGCTGGGACTACAGGCGCATGCTGCCACGCCTGGCTAATTTTTGTATTTTTAGTAGAGACGGGGTTTCACCGTGTTAGCCAGGATGGTCTCAATCTCCTGACCTTGTGATCTGCCCACCTCGGCCTCCCAAAGTGCTGGGATTACAGGCATGAGCCACCGCACCTGGCCAAGTCTGGGGCTTTTATGGGCTCAGAATGGGGGAGTGTGTGGTGATTGGTTTGTGAGTATGCAAAAAAGGCTAAAACAAAGGCACCACTCAAAGATGGAAACAACAATGTAAAAATGTAAAAAAAAACAATTAGGGAAGGGTAGGTATATGTAAAATAGGTGAAGGGTGGGGGTCAATCAGAGGAAAGCACATCAAATGGGAAGAGAGGTTCTCAATCCGGTCCATGGATTTATCTGAGATTTGGAGCTTGGCATTCAGGTTTTTTTTTCCTTTTCTGTAGCAATTTTTAAATTTTATTTTATTTGCATAGGTTATTGGGAAACAGGTGGTGTTTGGTTACACTAATAAGTTCTTTGGTGGTGATTTGCGAGATTTTGGTGTACCCATCACCCGAGCAATATACACTGCACCCTATTTATAGTATTTTATCCCTCACTCCCTTCCCACCCTTTCCCCAAGTCCTTGTATTAGTCCATTTTCACACTTCTGATAAAGACATACCTGAGACTGGGCAACATACAAAGGAAAGAGGTTTAATGGAGAATTCACAGTTCCACGTGGCTGGGGAAGCCTCACAATCATGGCAGAAGGCAAGAAGGAGCAAGTCACATCTTATGTGGATGGCAGCAGGCAACGACAGAGTGAGAGCTTGTGCAGGAAAACTCTCCCTTATACTAACCATCAGATTTTGTGAGACTTACTATTATGAGAACAACACAGGAAAGACCTGCCCCCATGATGCAGTTACTGCCCACCAAGTCCCTCCCACAACACATGGGAATACAAGATGAGATTTGGGTGGGGACACAGGCAGACCATATCATTCCACCCCTGGCCCCTCCCAAATCTCATGTCCTCACATTTCAAAACCAATCATGCCTTCCCAACAGTCCCCCAAAGTCTTACTTCAGCATTAACTCAAAAGCCCACAGTCCAAAGTCTCATCTGAGACAAGGCAAGTCCCTTCTGCCTATAAGCCTGCAAAATCAAAAGCAAGTTAGTTACTTCGTAGATAGAGTAGGGCTACAGGCATTGGATAAATACAGCCATTCTAAATAGGAGACATTGGCCAAAATGCTGGGGCTACAGACCCCATGCAAATCTGAAATCCAGTGGGGCAGTCAAATCTTAAAGCTCCAAAATGATCTCCTTTGACTCCATGTCTCACATCCAGATCACACTGAGGCAAGAGGTGGATTCCCATGGTCTTGGGCAGCTCAGCCCCTGTGGCTTTGCAGGGTACAGCCTCCCTCCTGGCTGCTTTCATGGGATGGCATTGAGTGTCGGCAGCTTTTCCAGGCCCACAGTGCAAGCTGTCTGTGGATCTACCATTCTGGAGTCTGGAGGATTGTGACCCTCTTCTCACTGCTCCACTAGGCAGTGCCCCAGGAGGAACTCTGTGTGGGGGCTCCAACCCCACATTTCCCTTCTGCACTGCCCCAGCAGAGATTCTCCGTGAGGGCCCCACCCCTGCAGCAGACTTTTGCTTGGGCATCCAGGCATTTCCATACATCTTCTGGAATCTAGGTGGAGGTTTCCAAACTTTAATTCTTGACTTCTGTGCACCTACAGGCTCAACACCACGTGGAAGCTGCCAAGGCTTGGGGCCGCCACCCTTGGGTAACAGCCCAAGCTGCACCTTGGCTCCTTCCAGTCACAGCTGGAGTGGCTGGGATGCAGAGAACCAAGCCCCTAGACTGCACACAACACAGGGACCCTGGGCCTGGCCCATGAAACTGTTTTCTCCCAGGCTTCCAGGACTGTGATAGGAGGGGCTGCTGTGAAGACCTCTAACATGCCCTGGAGACATTTTCCCCACTGTCTAGAGGATTAATATTCAGCTCCTTGTTATTTATGCAAATTTATGCAGCCGGCTTCAATTTCTCCTCAGAAAGTGGGTTTTTCTTTTCTACCACATTGTCAGGCTGCAAATTTTTTGAACTTTTATGCTCTGTTTCCCTTATCAAACTGAGTGCCGTTAACAGCACCCAAGTCACATCTTGAATGCTTTGCTGCTTAGAAATTTCTTCTGCAAGATACCCTGAATCATCTCTCTCAAGCTCCAAGTTCCAGATATCTCTACAACAGGGGAAAAATGCCACCAGTCTCTTTGCTAAAACGTAAGAGTCACCTTTGTTCCAGTTCCCAACAAGTTCCTCATCTCCATCTGAGACCACCTCAGCCTGGACCTTATTGTTCATATCGCTATCAGGCTTTTGGTCAAAGCCATTCAACAAATCTCCAGGAAGTTCCAAACTTTCCCACAATTTTCTGTCTCTTCTGAGCCCTCCAAACTGTTCCAACCTCAGCCTGTTACTCAGTTCCAAAGTTGCTTCCACATTTTTGGGTATCTTTTAAGTTGCACCCCACTCTACTGAATACCAATCTACTGTATTAGTCAATTTTTACATTGCTGATAAAGACATACCCAAGACTGGGCAAAGGAAAGACTGGGCAAAGGAAAGGCTTTACAAAGGGAAGAGGTTTAATGGAGAACTCAGTTTTACATGGCTGGGGAAGCTTCACAATCATGGTGGAAGGCAAGGAAGAGCAAGTCACATCTTATGTGGATGGCAGCAGGCAAACAGAGAATGAAAGCTTGTGCAGGAAAACTTCCCCCATATAATAACCATCAAATCTCATGAGATATACTATCATGAGAACAGTACAGGAAAGACCTGCCCCGTGATTCAGTTACCTCCTGCTGGGTCCTTCCCACAACATATGGGAATTCAAGATGAGATTTGGGTGGGGACACAGCCAAATTCTATCAGTCTCCAAAGTCCATTATATTATTCTTATGCCTTTGCGTCCTCATAGCTTAGCTCCCAATTATGAGTGAGAACATGCAATGTTTGGCTTTCCATACCTGGGTTACTTCACTTAGAATAATAGTCTACAATCTCATCCAGGTTGCTGCGAATGCCATTAATTCACTCCTTTTTTGTGGCTATACAGTATTCATATATATATACATCACGATTTCTTTATCCACTCGTTGTTTGATGGGCATTTGGGTTGCTTCAACATTTTTTTCAGTTGCGAATTGTGCTGCTATAAACATGCATGTGCAAGTATCTTTTTCATAAAATCACTTCTTTTCCTCTGGGTAGATATCCAGTAGTGGGATTGCTGGATCAATTGCTGGTAGTTCTACTTTTAGTTCTTTAAGGAATCTCCACATTGTTTTCCATAGTGATTGTACTAGTTGACATTCCCACCAGCAGTGTAGAAGTATTCCCTGATCACCACATCCATGTCAACATCTACTATTTTTTGATTATGGCCATTCTTGCAGGAGTAAGGTGGTATCACATTGTGGTTTTGATTTGCATTTCCCTGATCATTAGTGATGTTGAGCATTTTTTCATATATTTGTTGGCCATTTGTATGTCTTCTTTTGAGAATTGTCCTTAGTCCACTTTTTGATGGGATTTTTTTTTCTTGTTGATTTGTTTGAGTTCATTGTAGATTCTGGATATTAGTCCTTTGTCAGATGTATAGGTTGTGGAGATTTTTTTCCCACTCTGTGGGCTGTTTACGCTGCTATTCTTTTGCCATGCAAAAGCTCTTCAGTTTAATGAAGTCCCAGCAATTTATATTTGTTTTTAGTGCATTTGCTCTTGGTCATGAAGTCCTTGCCTAAGCCAGTGTCTAGAAGGGTTTTTCTAATGTTATCTTCTAGAATTTTTATAGTTTCAGGTCTTAGATTTAAGTCCTTAATCAATCTTGGGTTGATTTTTGTATAAAGTGAAAGATGAGGATCCAGTTTCATTCTCCTACATGTGGCTAGCCAATTACCCCACACCATTTGTTGAAAAGGGTGTCCTTTCTCCACTTTATGTTTTTGTTTGCTTTGTTGAAGATCAGTTGGCTGTAAGCATTTGGGTTATTTCTGGGTTCTCTGTTCTGTTCCATTGGTCTGTGTGCTTATTTTTATGCCAGTGCCATTCTGTTTTGGTGACTATGGCCTTATAGTATAGTTTGAAATCAGGTAATGTGATGCTTCCAGATTTGTTCTTTTTGCTTACTCTGGCTTTGGCTATGCGGGCTTTTTTTTTTTTTTGTTCCATGTGAATTTTAGAATTGTTTTTTCTAATTCTGTTAAGAATGATGGTGATATTTTGATGGGAATTGTGTTGAATTTGTAGATTGCTTTTAGCAGTATTGTCATTTTCACAATATGTATTCGACCCATCCATGAGCATGGGATGTGTTTCCATTTGTTTGTGTCATCTATTATTTCTTTCAGCAGTGTTTTATAGTTTTCCTTGTAGACGTCTTTCACCTCATTTAGGTATATTCCTAAATTTTTTTTTCAGCTATTGTAAAGGGGGTTGAGTTCTTGATGTGATTCTCAGCTTGGTTGCTGTTGGTGTATAGAAGAGCTGCTGATTTGTGTACATACATTTTGTATCTGGAAATATTGCCGAATTCTTTTATCAGTTCTAGGAGCCTTCTGGAGGAGTCTTTAGAGTTTTCTGGGTAAACGATCCTATCATCAACAAAAAGCAACAGTTTGACTTCCTCTTTATCGATTTGGATGACCTTTCTTTCTTTCTGTTGGCTGATTGCTCTGGCTAGGACTTCCAGTACTACGTTGAAGAGGAGTGGTGAGAGTGGGCATCCTTGTCTTGTTCCAGTTCTCAGAGGGGATGCTTTCAACTTTTCCCCATTCAGTATTATGTTGGCTGTGGGTTTTTCATAGATGTCCCTTGTATGCCAATTTTCCTGAGAGTTTTAATCATAAAGCGATGCTGGATTTTGTTGAATGCTTTTTCTGCATCTTTTGAGATGATCATGTGATTTTTGTTTTTAATTGTTTATGTGGTGTATCACATTTACTGACTTGTGTATGTTAAACTGTCTCTGCATCCCTGGCATGAAACCCATTTGATCATGGTGGATTATCTTTTTGATATGTTGTTGGATTCAGTTAGTGAGTATTTTGTTAAGGATTTTAACATCTGTGTTCATCAGGGATATTGGTCTGTAGTTTTCTTTTTTGGTTATGTCCTTTCCTGGTTTTGGTATGAGGGTGATACTGGCTTCATTGAATGATTTAGGGAGGGTTATCTCTTTATCTTGTGGAATAGTTTCAATAGGCTTGATACCAATTCTTCTTTGAATATCTGGTAGAATTCTGCTGTGAATCCATTTGGTCCTGGACTTTTTTTCTTGGTAACTTTTAAATTACCATTTCAATCTCACTGCTTGTTATTGGTCTATTCAGGATATCTAATTCTTCCTGATTAAAGCTAGGAGGGTTATATCTTTCCAGGAATTTATCCATCTCTTCTACGTTTTCTAGTTTATGCGTGTAAAGGTGTTCATAGTAGCCTTGAGTAATCTTTTGTATTCCTGTGGTGTCAGTTGTAATATCTCCCATTTTGTTTCTTATTGAGCTTATTTGGATTTTCTCTCTTCTTCTCTTGGTTAATCTTGCTAATGGTCTATCAATTTTATTTACCTTTTCAAAGAACCAGCTTTTTGTTTCATTTATCTTTTGTATTGTTTTTGTTTGTTTGTTTCAATTTCATTTAGTTCTGCTCTGATCTTAGTTATTTCCTTTCTTCTGCTGGGTTTGGGTTTGGTTTGTTCTTGTTTCTCTAGTTCCTTGAGGTGAGACCTCAGATTGTCTGTTTGTGCTCTTTCAGACTTTTTGATGTAGGTGTTCAGGGCTATGAACTTTCCTCTTAGCACCATCTTTGCTGTGTCCCAGTGGTTTTGATAGGTTGTGTCACTATCGTCGTTCAGTTGAAGAATTTTTTAAATTTCCATCTTGATTTCATTTTTGACCCAATGATCATTCAGGAGCAAATTATTTAATTCCATGTATTTGCATGGTTTTGAAGGTTCCTTTTGGAATTGATTTCCATTTTTATTCCACTGTGGTCTGAGAGAGTGCTTGATATAATTTCAATTTTCTTAAATTTATTGAGGCTCATTTTGCGACCTGTCATATGGTCTATCTTGGAGAAAGTTCCACGTGCTGAATAGAATGTATATTTTTTGGTTGCTGGATGAAATGTTCTGTATATATCTGTTAAGTCCATTTGTTCCAGGGTATAGTTTAAATCCACTGTTTCTTTGTAGACTTTCTGTCTTGATGACCTGTTCAGTGCTGTCAGTGGGGTATTAAAGTCCCCCACTATTATTATATTATTTTTTTGAGACGGAGTCTCACTCTGTCACCCAGGCTGGAGTGCAGTGGTGCAATCTTGGCTCACTGCAAGCTCTGCTTCCCGGGTTCACACCATTCTCCTGCCTCAGCCTCCCGAGTAGCTGGGACTACAGGCGCCCGCAACTGCACCTGGTTAATTTTTTTGTATTTTTAGTAGAGATGGGGTTTCACCATGGTCTCGATCTCCTGACCTCATGATCTGCCTTCCCCGGCCTCCCAAAGTGCTGGGATTACAGGCGTGAGCCACCATGCCCAGCCTGTCCCCCACTATTATTGTGTTGCTGTCTATCTCATTTCTTAGGTCTATTAGTAATTGCTTTATAAATTTGGGAGCTCCAGTGTTAGGTGCATATATGTTTAGGATTGTGATATTTTCCTGTTGGGCAAGGCCTTTTATCATTATATAATGTCCCTCTTTGTCTTTTTAAACTGCTGTTGCTTTAAAGTTTGTTTTGTCTGTTATATGAATAGCTACTCCTGCTAACTTTTGGTGTCCATTTGCATGAAATGTCTTTTCCACCTGTGTACCTTAAGTTTCTGCAAGTTCTTTTAAGTGGAGCATTTAGGCCATTTATATTCAATGTTAGTATTGAGATGTGAGGCACCATTCCATTCATTATGCTATATGTTGCTGTATACCTTGGCTTATTGTTTTTGTTTTTGTTTTTTAAATTATATTTTTGTTTTATAGGTCTTGTGAGATTTATGCTTTAAAGACGTTCCGTTTTGATGTTTTTCCAGGATTTGGTTCAAGATTTAGAGTTCCTTTTAGCAGTTCTTGTAGTGGTGGCTTGGTACAGGCAAATACTCTCAGCATTTGTCTGAAAAAGACTGTGTCTTTCCTTCATATATGAAGTTTACTTTTGCTGAATACAAAATTCTTGGCTGATAATTGTTTTGTTTGAGGAGACTGAAGATAGTGCCCCAATCCCTTCTAGCTTGTAGGGTTTCTGCTGAGAAATCTGCTATTAATATAATAGGTTTTCCTTTATAGGTTACCTGGTGCTTTTGTCTCACAGCTCTTAAGATTCTTTCCTTCGCCTTAACTTTAGATAACCTGATTACATTGTGCTTAGGCAATGATATTTTTGTGATTCATTTCCCAGGTGTTCTTTGTGCTTCTTGTATTTGGATGTCTAGGTCTTTAGCAAGGCTGGAGACATTTCCTTGATTATTCCCCCAAATATGTTTTCCAAACTTTTAGATTTCTCTTCTTCTTCGGGAACACTGATTATTCTTAGGTTTGGTCTTTTAACATAATCCCAGACTTCTTGGAGGTTTTGTTCATATTTTCTTATTCTTTTTTCTTTGTCTCTGTTGGATTGGGTTAATTCAAAGATCTTGTCTTTGAGCTCTGAATTTCTTTCTTCTACTTGTTTAATTCTACTGCTGAGACTTTCCAGAGCATTTTGCATTTCTATAAATGTGTCCATTGTTTCCTGTAGCTTTGATTGTTTTTTATTTATGCTATCTATTTCCTTGAATATTTCTCCCTTCACTTCTTATATCAGTTTTTGGATTTCCTTAGATTGGGCTTTGCCTTTCTCTGGTACCTCACTGATTAGCTTTATAACAAACCTCCTGAATTCTTTTTTGGGTAAATCAGGGATTTCTTCTTCGTTTGGGCCCATTGCTGGTGAGCTAGTGTGATTCTGGGGGGTGTTAAAGAACCTTGTTTTGTCATATTACCGGAGTTGGTTTTCTGGTTCCTTCTCACTTGGGTAGCCTCTCTCAGAGGGAAGGTCTAGAGCTGAAGGCTGTTGTTCAGATTCTTTTGTCCCATGGGATATTCCCTTGATGTAGTACTCTCCCCCTTTTCCTAATGATGTGGTTTCCTGAGAACCAAGCTATAGTGATTGTTATCTGTTTTCTGGATCTAGCCACCCAGCAAGTCAACCAGGCTCCAGGCTGATACTGGGGGTTGTCTGCACAGAGTCCTGTGATGTTAACTGTCTGTGGGTCTCTCAGCCATGTATATCAGAATCTGTTCCAGTGGAGGTGGCAGGGGGGTGAAATGGACTCTGTGAGGGCTCTTAGCTTTGGCGGTTTAATGCACTATTTTGTGCTGGTTGGCCTCCTGCCAAGAGGTGGCACTTTCCAGACAGCATCAGCTGTGGTAGTATGGGGAGGAACAGGCAGTGGGTGGGGCCCTAGAACTCCCAAGAGTATATGCCCTTTGTCTTCAGTTACCAGGGTGGGTAGGGAAGGACTATTGGGTGGGGGCAGGGCTAGGCATATCTGAGCTCAAGCTCTCCTCGGGCGGGTCTTGCTGTGGCTGAGTATTTAGGTTCTCTCCTGGGTCCTGCAGGAGCAATCGCTTCCTTCAAGGGGTCTGTGGGTCCTCTCAGGTTTCTTGATTTGTTCTTGCAGTTGTTCTGGAGGAAAAATTCATGATGCAAGTCTCCACATGCTGCTCTGAGTCAGAGCTGCAATCTAGTCCTACCTCCCATCCGCCATGATCCCTCTCAATCCAACATTCAGGCTTTAACCTGTCTTTGATTTGAAGGTCGCGTTACACCAGGGACCTGCCTCTACCTGCCTCCTGCTGCTATAAAGATAATCATGTGGGCTTTTTTATTCTATTGATATGGCATATATTAATTTTCAAATATTAAACCAATCTTGGATTCCTGGAATAAATTCCACTTGGTCTTAGTGTCCAATTCTTTTTATATGTTGCTGGATTTCATTTTAGTATTTTGTTGGATTTGTCTGTTCATATTCATAAGAGATACTGGTCTGTAGTTTTCTTGTGATGTTTGGTTTTGGTATCAGATAATACTGGCTTCATAAACTGAGTGTTCCCTCTTCAATTTTTAAGAATATTTTGTGAGGCTGGGCGCAGTGGCTCATGCCTGTAATCCCAGCACTTTGGGAGGCCGAGGCGGGTGGATCATGAGGTCAGGAGATCGAGACCATCCTGGCTAACACAGTGAAACCCCATCTCTACTAAAAATACAAAAAATTAGCTGGGCGTGGTGGTGCATGCCTGTAGTCCCTGTTAGGAGGCTGAGGCAGGAGAATGGTGTGAACCCGGGAGGTGGAGCTTGCAGTGAGCCAAGATTGTGCCACTGCACTCCATCCTGGGTGACAGAGCGAGACTCCATCTCAAGAAAAGAAAAGAAAAAAAAAAAAAAATATATATATATATATATATATATATATATATATATATATAGTGAAGATTTGATATTAATTTTTCTTCAAATATTTTTCAAATATTTAGTAAAATTTAGTGGTGAAGCCGTCTGGGTGGGTATGGTGTTTTACTGCTTATTCAGTATTTTTGCTTGTTATAAGTCTGTTCAGATTGCCTGATCTTAAGTGGGGTTTGGTAGTTTGTGTCTTTCTAGGAATGTATCCATTTCATCTAAGTTACCTAATGTATTGGCATGCGATTGTTCATACTACTTCTTTATCATCCTTTGTTATTTCTGTAAGATCTGTAGTAATGCCCTTTTTTATTTCTGATTCTAGTAATTTGAGTCTTCTCTTTTTTCTTAGCCTAGCTACAGTTTTGTTAATTTTTAAAAATCTTTTCAGTTTTTGGTTTTATTGTTTTTCTCTTGTGCTTTTCAATATCTGTTTCATTAATTTCCATTCTAATATTTATCTTTTCTTTCTTCTGCTTTCTTTAGGTTTAGTTTACTCTTCTTTTTCCAGGATAAAACTAGGTTAATGATTTGAAATTTTTCTTCTTTCTTATTATACGCATGTGCAGCTAGACATTTAACACTGCTTCAGCTTCATTCCATAAATTTTGATATGTTGTGTCTTCATTTTCATTTATGTCAGGGTATTTTTTTATTTCCCTTTTGTTTTCCTCTGATCCATTGGTTATTTAGTAGAGTGCTGCTCAATTTCCATATGCTTGGGAGTTTTCCAAATTTTTTCCTGTTGATTTCTGTCTTATTCCAATTTGTCCTGCTATAACAAAATACTTAAGACTGGGTATTTAATAATGAACAGAAATTTATTTAGCACAGCTCTGGAGGCTGGGAAATCGAAGAATGAGGGGGCAGCATCTGGCAGGACCCTTGTGCTGCATCATCCCATGGTGGGAGGTGGAAAGGCAAGAGAGAGCAAGGGGAGGCCAGACCTGCCCTTTTATAACAGTACTCCTCCTGTGATAATGAACACATTTCTGTGATAATGGCATTAACCCATTAATGAGCACATAACCCTCATGACCCAAACACCTCTTAAAGTTCCCACCTCCCGACACCTTCAAAATGGGAATTAACTTTTAGTATGAGTTTTGGAGTGAACAAAAATTCAAACTATATCAATTCCTAATTTCATTCTATTGTGTAGGAGAACATAATTTATGTATTATATCCTTTTAAATTTAGAGAGGTTTGCTTTATAGCCTAGCATATGGTGGTGTGTTCTAGAGAATGTTCTATGTGCAGTTGAGAAGAATGTATACTTTCTTGTTGTGTGGAGTGTTTTATAGATGTTTGTTAGGTCTAGTTGTTTATAATGTTATATCTTTTATTTCCTAGTTGATTTTCTGCTTGGTTATTCATTATAGAAAGTGAGACATTGAAGTCTCCAACTCTTATTTCTGTCAGTTGTGTGCTTTGTGTATTGTAGTGTTTTGTTGTTGGGTGCATACATATTTGTAATTGTTAGCTTTTCCTGATAGATTGACCCTTCTATAGTTATAAAATGTCTCTAGGAATTTTTTGTTATGTCTATTTTGTATGAGATTAGTATAGCCACTCCAGCTTTCTTGTGGCTGCTGTTTGAATGATGTACCTTTTCTCATCCTTTTACTGTCAGTCTATTTGTATCTTTGAATAAAAGGTGTATCTCCTGTGGACAGCATATAGTTGGGTCTTATTTTTTGTTTTTGTTTGTTTGCTTGTTTTTACACAGGTTTTCTGACAATCTCTGCCTTTTTAATAAACTGTTTAATTCATTCATGTTAAGGAAAAATGCATTTATAGTCTTACCATTATATAATTATCTTTACCTTTACTGGTTCTCTTTGCTTTTTCTGTGGATCCAAGTTACCATTTGGCATATTCACTTGGTTGTTAAAAAAATTACCAGCAAAGTGGAAAGATGGCCTACTAGAAGCAGCTGCCATTGGTGGCTCCCACTGAGAAGAATGAAAATGGTGAGTGAATCCTGCACCTTCAGCTGAGGTACCCAGGTTCTCTCATTGAGACTGACTAGGTGGTTGGCACAACCCATGGAGAGTCGGGAAAAGCAGGGTGGAGCGATGGACCACTCAGGAGCACCATGGGGCAAGAGGAGCTCCCATCCCCAGCCAAGGGAGGCAGTGACTGATTGTGCTACCTGCCTGGAAAACCATGTTTTTTCCACAGATCTGTGCAACTCACAGATCAGGAAATCCCCTCATGAGCCCAAACCACCAGAGCCTTGGGTCCCAAGTACAGAGCTGTCCAGATGCTCAGGTTGCAGCTAGTGGCAGCTGGCTAGAGACTGCCTAAGACAACTGAGTACCTAGGGGGAGGGGCGGCCACCATCACTGCAGCTCCAGTCTGCCGTTTTCCTCTGCTGGTGCGGGGAAGACTGGGTAGTTTGAACCAGGAGGAATTTCCCACAGCACAGCACAGTGGCTGTGGCAGATCATGGCTAGACTGCTGCTTTAGGTGGGACCCAGATCCATTCCCCGTCAATGGGCAGGGCCTCCCTGTGGGAATTTCAGCAACTCCAGCCAGAGGTTTACAAACAGAACTCTGATCTCCCTGGAATGGAGTCCTTAGGGGGATGGGCAGCTGTGATCTCCACAACTCAGTAGACATAATCTTTCCTGCCTGCTGGTTCTGAAGAGGCTGGGCAGTTTGGACAAAGAGGAGTCCCTCCAGTGCAGTGCACCCACTCCACCAAGGGGCAGCCAGACTGCTTCTTTAAGCAGGCCTCGGATCCCAAGCCTCCTGACTGGGTGAGATCCCCCAACATGGGTTGTCAGGAATCTTATACGGGAGCGTTCCCACCAGCATCAGGTTGGTGTCCCTCTGAGATTGAGCTCCCAGAGGAAGGATCAGGCAGCCATCTTTGGTGTTCTACAGCCTCCACTGGTGACACTTCCAGGTGCAGGAGGGATCCAGGTGAATAGGGTCTGGAGTAGACCCCCAGCAAACTGCAGCAACCCTACAGAAGAGGGGCCTAGCTGTTAAAAGAAAGAAAGCAACAACAACATCAACAAAAAAAGACCCCACAAAACCCCATCCAAAGGTCAGCAGCCTCAAAGATCAAAGGTAGACAAGCTCACAAAGATGAGAAAAAAATCAATGCAAAAACGCTGAAAACTCAAAAAGCCAGAGTGCCTCTTCTCCTTCGAATGACTGAAACACCTCTCCAGCAAGGGCACAGAACTGGACAGAGGCTGAGATGGATGAACTGACAGAAGTAGGCTTCAGAATGTGGGTAATAACGAACTCCATTGAGCTAAAGGAGTTATGTTCTAACCCAGTGCAAAGGAGCTAAGAACCATGATAAAACATTACAAGAGCTGTTAACCAGAATAACCAGTTTACAGAGGAACATAAATGATCTGATGGAGCTGAAAAACACAACTTGAGAACTTCACAATGCAACCACAAATATCAATAGCCAAATAGACCAAGTGGAACAAAGAATCTCAGAGCTTGAAGACTATCTTGCTTAAATAAGACAGGCAGACAAGATTAAAGAAAAAAGAATGAAAAGGAATGAACAAAACTTCTGAGATCTATGAGATTATGTAAAAAGACTGAACCTACAACTGATTGGGGTACCTGGAAGAGATGGGGAGAATGGCACCAAGTTGGAAAGCATACTTCAGGATATCATCCAGGAGAACTTACCCAAACCAGCAAGACAGGCCAACATTCAAATTCAGGAAATCCAGAGAACCCCAGTAAAATACTCCATGAGAAGATCAGCCCCAAGACACATAATCATCAGATTCCTCAAGGTCAAAATGAAGGAAAAAATGTTAAGGGCAGCCAGAGAGAAAGGCCAGGACACCTACAAAGGGAAGTCCATCAGACTAACAACAGAATTCTCAGTGGAAACCCTACAAACCAGAAGAGATTGGAGGCCATATTCAACATTCTTAAAGAAAAGAATTTCCAACCCAGAATTTTATATATGGTCAAATTAAGATTCATAAATGAAGGAGAAATAAAATCCTTTTCAGACAAGCAAATGCTGAGGAATTCATCACTACCAGGCCTGCCTTGCAGGAGCTCCTGAAGATAGCATGAAATATGGAAAGGAAAAACTATTACCAGCCTGTACAAAAAGACACTGAAGTACACAGACCAGTGACACTGTGAAGCAACTACATTAATAAGTCTGCAAAATAACCAGCTAGCATTATGATGACAGGATCAAATTCACACATAACCATACTAACTTTAAATGTAAATGAACTAAATGTCCCAATTAAAAGACACAGAATGGCAAGCTGGATAAACAGTTAAGACCCATCAGTGTGCTGTATTCAAGAAACCCCTCTCACATGCAAAGACACATGAGGCTCAAAATAAAGAAGTGGAGGAAAATTTACCAAGCAAATGGAAAACAGAAAAAAACAAGGGTTGCAATACTAGTTTCTGACAAAACAAATCTTCAACCAACAAAGATTAAAAAAAAGAAGGGCATTACACAATGGTAAAAGGTTCAATTCAACAAGAAGAGCTAACTGTCCTAAATATATACGCAGCCAATACAGGAGCACCCAGATTTATAAAACAAGTTTTTAGAGACCTACAAAGAGACTTAGACTCTCACACAATAATAGCGGGAGACTTTAACACCCCACTGTCAATATTAGTTAGATCATCAAGAGAGAAAATTAACAAAGATATTCAGAACTTGAACTCAGCTCTGGATTAAGTAGACCTGATAGATATCTACAGAACTTTCCACTCAAAAGCAACAGAATATACATTCTTCTTGGCACCACATGGCACTTACTCTAAAACTGATCACATAATTGGAAGTAAAACCCTCCTCAGCAAATTCAAAAGAACTGAAATTATAACAGTCTTTCAGACCACAGCAGAATCAAAATGGAACTCAAGATTAAGAAGCTCACTCAAAACCACACAACTACATGGAAACTGAACAACCTCCTCCTGAATGACTCCTGGGTAAACAATAAAATTAAGGCACAAATCAAGAACTTATTTGAAACTAATGAGAACAAAGAGACAATATACCAGAATCTCTGGGATGCAGCTAAAGCAGCATTAAGAGGAAAATTTATAGCACTAAATGCCCACTTCAAAAAGCTAGGAGGATCTCCAATTGACATCCTAACATCACAACTAAAAGAACTAGAGAACCAAGAGCAAACAAACCCCAAAGCTAGCAGAAGACAAGAAATAACCAAGATCAGAGCAGAACTGAAGGAAACAGAGACGTGAAAAACCCTTCAAAAAAAATCAACGAATCCAGGAGCTGGCTTTTTGAAAAAAATTAATAAAATAGATAGACTGCTAGCTAGACAAAGAAAAGTGAAAAGAATCAAATGGACACAATGAAAATGATAAAGAGAATATCACCACTGACCCTACGGAAATACAAACAACCATCAGAGAATACTATAAACATCTCTATGCACATGAACTAGAAAATGTAGAAGAAACTGATAAATTCCTGAATACAAAGACCCTCCTAAGACTGAACCACAAAGAAGTTGAATCTCTGAATAAACCAATAATAAGTCCTGAAATTGAGGCAGTAAGAAATAGCCTACCAACCAAAAAAAACCCAGGACCAGAAGGATTTACAGCTGAATTCTACCAGAGGTACAAAGAGGAGCTGGTTCCATTTCTTCTGAAACTATTCCAAACAATAGAAAAGGAGGGAATCCTCCCTAACTCATTTTATGAGACGAGCATCATCCCGATACCAAAACCTGGCAGAGATAAAACAAAAAAACAAAACTTCAGACCAATATGACTGATGAACATTCATGCAAAAATTCTCAATAAAATACTGGCAAACCAAATCCAGCAGCACATCAAAAAGCTTATCCTACCATGATCAAGGTGGCCTCATCCCTGGGATGCAAGGCTGGTTCAACATATGCAAATCAATAAACATAATTCATCACATAAATGGAACAAAAGATGAAAACCACATGATTATATCAATAGACACAGAAAAGGCCTTCAATAAAATTCAACATCCCTTCACATTAATACTTTCAATAAACTGGATATTGAAGGAATATGCCTCAAAATAATAACAGCCACTTATGACAGATCCACAGCCAATTTCATACCGAATGAGCAAAAGCTGGAAGCATTCCCCTTGAAAACTGGCACAAGACAAGGATGCCCCCTCTCACCACTCCTATTCAACATAACATTGGAAGTTCTAGCAAGGGAATCAGGCAAGAGAAAGAAATAATGGATATTCAAATAGGAAGAGAGGAAGTCAAACTGCCTCTGTTCACAGATGACATGATCCTATATCCAGAAAACCCCATTGTCTCAGCCCAAAAGGTTTTTTTTGTTGTCGTTGTTTTTGTTTGTTTGTTTTTTGAGACGGAGTCTTGCTCTGTTGCCAGGCTGGAGTGCAGTGGCACAATCTTGGCTCACTGCAACCACCGCCTCCCAGGTTCAAGCAATTCTCCTGCCTCAGCCTCCTGAGTAGCTGGGACTACAGGCACACACCACCACGCCTGGCTAATTTTTGTATTTTTACTAGAGACAGGATTTCACCATGTTGGCCAGGATGGTCTTGATCTCTTGACCTCGTGATCCACCCACCTCGGCCTCCTAAAGTGCTGGGATTACAGGTGTGAGCCACCACGCCCAGCCTCCAAAAGCTTCTTAAACTGATAAGCAACTTCAGCAAAGTCTCAGGATACAAAATCAATGTGCAAAAGTGACAAGCATTTCTATACACCAACAGACAAGGCAGAGTGCCAAATCTTAAGTGAACTTCCATTTACAATTGCTACAAAGAGAATAAAATACCTAGGAATACAGTTAACAAGGGAAGTGAAGGACCTCTTCGAGGAGAACTACAAACCACTGCTCAAGGAAATCAGAGAAGACACAAACAAATGGAAAAACATTCCATGCTCATGGATAGGAAGAATCAATATCGTGAAAATGGCCATACTCCCCAAAGTAATGTATAGATTCAATGCTATTACCATTAGACTACCATTGACATTCTTCACATAATTAGAAAAAAAGCTATTTTAAAATTGATATGATACCAAAAAAAAGCCCATATAGCCAAGACAATCCTAAGCAAAAAGAACGAAGTTGGAGGCATCATGCTATTGGACTTCAAGCTATACAGCAAGGCTACAGTAACTAAAACAGCATGGTACTGGTACAAAAACAGACACATAGACCGGTGGAACAGGATAGGGAACCCAGAAGTAAGACTGCCCATCTACAACCATCTGATCTTTGACAAACATGACAAAAACAAGCAATGGGGAAAGGATTCCCTATTTAATAAATGGTGCTGGGAGAACTGGCTATCCATATGCAGAAAATTAAAACTGGACCCCTTCCTTACACCTTATACAAAAATTAACTCAAGATGGATTAAAGACTTAAATGTAGAACCCCAAACTATAAAAACCCTAGAAGAAAATCTAGGCAATACCATTCAGGACATAGGCACGGACAGAGATTTCATGATGAAAACATCAAAAGCAATTGCAACAAAAGCAAAAGGAAATTGACAAATAGGATCTAATTAAACTGAAGAGCCTCTGCACAGCAAAAGAAACTATCATCAGAGCAAACAGACCACCTACAGAATGGGAGAAAATTTTTGCAATCTATTCATCTGACAAAGGCCCAATATCTAGAATCTACAAGGAACTTAAAACAAATATACAAGAAAAAACCAACCTCATTAAAAAGTGGGCAAAGGACATGAACAGACACCTGTCAAAAGAAGACATTCATGCGGCCAACAAATATATGAAAAAAAGCTCAATATCGCTGATCATTAGAGAAATGCAAGTCAAAACCACAAATGAGATACTACTGTCTCACACCAGTCAGAATGGCAACTATTAAAACGTCAAAAAACAACAGATGCTGGTGAGGCTGCAAAGAAATAGGAATGCATTTACAGTGTTGATGGGAATGCAAATTAGTCCAATCATTGTGGAAGACAGTGTGGCAATTTCTCAAAGACCTAGACCCAGAAATACCATTTGACCCAGCAATCCCGTTACTGGGTATATACCCAGCGGAATATAAATTATTCTATTACAAAAATATATGCACATGTATGTTCATTGCAGCACTATTCACAATAGCAAAGGCATGGAATCAACCCAAATGGCTGTCAATGGTAGGCTAGATAAAGAAAATGTGGTACATTTACACCATGGAATACTATTCAATCATAAAAAGGAATTAGATTGTGTTCTCTGCAGGGAGATGGATGGAGCTGGAAGCCATTATCCCCAGCAAACTAACGCAGGAACAGAAAACCAAACACCACATGTTCTCACTTATAAGTGGGAGCTGAACATTATGAACACATAGACACACAGAGGGGAACAACACACACTGGGGCCTGTTGGGGGGACACTGGGGGAGGGAGAGCATCAGGAAAAATAGCTAATGCATGCTGGACTTAGGTGATTGGTTGATAGGTGCAGCAAATCACCATGGCACATGTTTGCCTATGAAACAAATCTGCACATCCTGCACATGTACCCTAGAACTTAAAAATTTTTAAAAATTGCCATCGGGGGTCACTTGCTTTCAGTCTGATGGACTTTCTTTAGTATTTATGGTGATGTCAGCCAACAACAAAATTTGCTTATCTAAGAATGTCCTTATTTTGCTTTCATTTTTCAAAGGTGTATACCTTTTGTATATCTTATTTGGAGAACTGTCTTACAGCTTTTTCTTTTTCAAAATTGCTTTGTTTATTCAGAGTGTCTTTAGATTCTATATCAATTTTAGAATGAGTTAGTCTTTCTGCAAAAACCATAATTAGAATTTGGATAGGGACTGCCTTGAATCTGTAGATGGCTTTGAGTAGTACTGACATCTTAACAATATTAAGACTTCCAATCCATGAACATAAGATGTCTTTCCACTTATTTCTTTGTATTGTTCGATGTTTTCCATTCAATGTTTTGTACTTTTCATTTTATAAGTCTTTCATCTCCTTGGTTAATTCCTAAATATTTTTTGATGCTATTGTCAATGGAATTGTTTTCCTGATTTCCTTTTCGAATTGTTCATTGTGAGTGTATGAAAATGCAACTATTTTTGTGTGTTGACCTTGTATCCTGCTATGTTGCTAAATTTATTAGTGCTACTTTTTTTTGTGGAATCTTTAGGCCTTTCTACATATGAGATTATATCATTGGCAGAGATAATTTGAATTGTTTCTTTCCAATTTAGAATCCTTTTTTTCTTGCCTAATTGCTCTAAGAGCTTCCAGTTCTGTGTTGAGTGGAAGTGACAAACGCAGTCATCCTTGCTGTGTTTCTGATCTTATCAGAAAAAGCTTCTGCAGATTTTCACTACTGAGTATGATGTTTGTTGTGGATTTTCATATATGGACTTCATTATGTTGAAGTAGTTTCCTTTTATTCCTAGTTGTTTTTTTCTTTAATCATTATAGGGTACTGAATTTTGCCAAATGCCTTTGCTGCATCAATCGAGACGATCACATGTGGTTTTTCCCCTTCATTCCATTAATATGGTTTATTACATTGATTGTTTTATATATTGAATCATCCTTACATTCCAGGAGTAAACCCCACTTTGTAATGCTATATAGTGTTTTTAATATGCTGCTGAAGTCAGTTTGCTAGTATTTTATTGAGGATTTTTACATCAATGTTCAGAAGGAATCATGGTCTGTAGTTTTCTGTTTTTGTAGTGTCTGACTGGTTCCAGTATCAGGATAATGCTTGCCTCATAGAGTAAGTTTGAAAGTTTTCCCTCAACTTTCTGAAAAAGTTTAAAAAGGATTAGTGTTAGTTATTTAAATGTTTGGTAGAATTCACCAATGAAGCCATCAGGTTTTTGTCAATAGATCTTTTATTACTTAAATCAATCTCCTTACTAGTTATAAGTCTACTCAGATTTTCTATTTCTTCATGATTAGTCTTGATATGTTTTGTGTTTTTAGGAACTTGTCTATTCTAGGTTTTTCCATTTGTTGGCATACAATTGTGCATAGTATTTTTTAATGCTTTTTATTACTGTAGAATTGGTAACGTTTCCAATTTTATTTCTGATTTTAGTAATCTGTCTTCTTTTTTTCTTGGTCCATCTAGCTAAAATGTCAATTTTGTTGATCTTTTCAAAGAAACCATTTTTGGCTTTCTTGATTTTCTCTGTTTTTCTATTGTCTCTCATCTATTTCTGCACTAATCCTTACTTCTGCTAACTTTGGGTTTAGTTTGTTCTTCTTTTTTAGTTTCTTAAGTTGTAATGTTAGTTTGTTAATTTGAGGTCCTTCTTGGTTTTTAATGTAAGCATTTATAGCTATAAATTGCTTCTTTAGCACTGCTTTTGCTGGGTCCCATAAGTTTTGGTACATTGTTTTTATTTCCAAGTATTTTCTAATTTTTCTTGTTATTTCTTCTTTGATCCATTGGTTGTTTGAAAGTGTGTTAATTTTCACTAATTTCTGTATTTTCTCAGTTTTCCTTCTGCTATAGATTTTTAACTTTATCCCAGTTTGGTTTAAGGAGAGACTTTGTATATTTTTAAATCTATTGAGACTTAATTTGTGGCCTAACATGTTGTCTATCCTGGAAAATGTTCCATGTGAACTTGAGAAGAATGTGTATTCTATTTTTATTGTTGGGTAGAATGTTCTGCATATGTCTGTTAGATCTAGTTAGTTTGTTGTGCTGTTTAAAGCCTCCATTTCCTTACTTATGTCTTATTGTTCCATCCATTATTCAAAGCAGGGCACTGACATTTCCAACTATTATTATAGAACTGTCTATTTCTCCTTTCTCCCTTCTATTGTCAGTTTTCATTTCATATATTTTGATGATCTGTCATTGTATGTGTAAATGTTTACAATTGTTACATCTTGCTGAATTGAATCTTTTATTAATGTCCATCATTTCTTGTAATCATTTTTTATTTAAACTATATTATTATAGCTACCTCTGCTCCCTGTTGATTACTATTTGCATGGAATATCTTTTTTTTTTTTTTTTTTTTTTTTTTTTTTTTTTTTTTGTGAGAGAGGGTCTTACTCTGTCTC
Source organism: Homo sapiens (assembly GCF_000001405.40). Lineage (NCBI taxonomy): Eukaryota > Metazoa > Chordata > Mammalia > Primates > Hominidae > Homo > Homo sapiens. The sequence continues at coordinate 46,573,620 of NC_000021.9, read as the reverse complement.
CCAGGCTGGAGTACAGTGTTGTGATCTTGGTGCACTGCAATCTCCACCCATCAGGCTCAAGGAATATTCCCACCTCAGCCTCCTGAGAAAGCCACAATGCCCAGCTAATTTTTGTATTTTTTTGGTAGAGATGTGGTCTCTTCATGTTGCCTAGGCTGGTCTCAAATTCCTGGGCTCAAGAAAACCACCTGCCTCAGCCTCCCAAAGCGCTGGGATTACAGACATGAGCCACTGTGCCCAGTGAATATATTTTTCCATCCTGTCACTCTCAATATATTAATACTGTGTCTTTGGATGTGAGTCTCTTGTAGACAGCATACAGTTAGATCCTGTTTTTTCCCCATTCTGCCAATCTCTGTCCATTTAATCTATTTACAGATAAAGTAATTATCAATAAGGAGAGACTTACTTCTGTCACTTCATATTCTATATGCCTTATATCTCTTTCATTTCTTGTATTGCGCCCTTCTGTGTTTTTTTTTAATGAAACATTTAAATCCCTTTCTCACTTCCTTTTGTGCATACAGCCATGCATTACTTAACAACAGAAATATGTTCTGAGAAATGTGTTTTTAGGTGATTTCATCATTGGGGGAACAACATACAGTGTATATGTATCTACACAAACCTAGCCTACAACACACCTAGGCTATATGATATAGCCTATTGCTCCTGGGTTACAAACCTGTCCACCATGTAACTGTACAAAATACTGTAGGCAATTGTAATGCACTGGTATTTGTATATCTAAACACATGTCCAAATTTAGAAAAGGTAGTAAAAATACAGTATAAAGGATTAAAATCAGTACACTTGTACAGGGCACTCAGTCCATTGTATGTTGCTTATAACAGAACACCTGAAATTGGCTACATTATAAGAAAAACATGAATTTATTTCTTAGAATTATAGCAGCTGAGAAGTCCAAGGTTGAGGGCCACATCAGGTCAGGGTCTTCTTGCTGGTAGGGACTCTCTGCAGACTCCCAAGGTAGTGCAGGGCATCATATGGTGGGGGCGCTGAGCATGCTAGCTCAGGTCTTCATCTTCTTACAAAGCCATCAGCCCCATTCCCATGATAATCCATTAATCTATCAATCCTTGAATAGATTAATCCAATCACCTCTTAAGGGCCCCACCTCTTAATACTGCCACATTGGGGGTCACTCAAATCATAGTAAGTACTTACCATTAATGGAGCTGGTAGAACTCAAAGTTATTTTGGGTGTAAGTGGTGAATGAATGTGAAGGCCTAGGACATTACTGTACACTACTATAGACTTTATAAACATTGTACACTTAGACTACACTAAACATAATTTTTCTTCAATAATAAATTAACCTTAGCTTACTGTAACTTTATAAACTTTCAAATGTTTTTAAGTTTTTGGCTATTTTGTAAAAACATTTAGCTTAAAACACATTGTACAACTGTGCAAAACATTTTTAGACATCTTTATAAACTTTTTTCTCTAAAAATTTTTTATTTTTTACATTATAAACTTTATTATTAAAAGCTAAAACCTGTCAATAAACTAGGTATTGGTGGACCATATCTCAAAATAATAAGAGCTATTTATGACAAACCCACAGCCAGTATCATACTGAATGGGCAAAAACTAGGAAGGATTCCCTTTGAAAACCGGCACAAGACAAGGATGCTCTTTCTCACCACTCCTACTCAACATAGTATTGGAAGTTCTGGTCAGGGCAAACAGGCAAGAGAAAGAAAGAAAGCATATTCAAATAGGAAAAGAGGAAGTCAAATTGTCTCTGTTTGCAGATGACATGATTGTATATTTAGAAAACCCCATCATCTCAGCCCAAAATCTCCTTACTCTGATAAGCAACTTCGGCAAAGTTTCAGGATACAAAATCAATGTGCAAAAATCACAAGCATTCTTATACACCAATAACAGACAAACAGAGAGCCAAATGATGAGTGAACTCCCATTCACAATTGCTACTAAGATAATGAAATACCTAGGAATACAACTTACAAGGGATGTGAAGGACCTCTTCAAGGAGAACTACAAACCACTGCACAAGGGAATAGGAGAGGATGCAAACAAATGGAAAAACATCCCATGTTCATGGATAGGAAGAACCAATATCGTGAAAATGGCCATACTGCCCAAAATAATTTATAAATTCAATGCTATCCCCATCAAGCTACCATTGACTTTCTTCACAGAATTAGAAAAAACTACTTTAAATTTCAATATATTGGCCCACTACCTTCTGGCCTCTAGTTTCTGATGAGCAATCTGCTGATAATCTTATTGAGCAGCAGTCCCCAACCTTTTTGGCACCAGCGACTGGTTTTGTGGAAGACAATTATTCCACAGACCAGGGGGCACAGGACGATGGTTTTGGAATGGAACTGTCCCACCTCAGATCATCAGGCATTAGATTCTTATAAGGAGTGTGCAACCTCGATCCCTGGCACGTGCAGTTAGTTCATAAGAAGGCTTGCATGCCTATGAAAATCTAATGTCACCACTGATCTGACAGGAGGCAGAGCTCAGGTGGTAATGCTCACTCACCCACCACTCACCTCTTGCTGTGTGGTCTGGTACCTAACAGACTGTTAACAGTCTGTGGCCCAGGGCTTGGGGACCTGTTACTGAGGATCCTTTGTATGTAGCAAGTTGCTTCTCCCTTGTTGCTTTCAAAATTCTCTGGCTTTGGCTTCTGAAATGTTGGTATCTGTGTGGTCTCTTTGAGTTCATCTTACTTGGAATTTGTTGAGCTACTTGGATGCTTATATTCAGGTCTTTCATCAAATTTAGGAAGTCTTCAGCCATTATTTCTTCAAGTATTCTCTCTCTCCCTCAACCCCACTTCTGGAACTGCCAACATGAAGGCCAGCACTGTGGCAGGAACCAGGCAAATACTGGAGGTTAGTTATTTCTCTGCCATGTACTCCCCATTGGTTTATGCTGATCATTCCAGTAGAACCACTTTGAAATAAATCAGCTATATTCATAATCTGAAATCAAACACAATAACCAGTTTGCATAAATATAACATCTAAAAAACCATCTGCACCAAAACAGATAGAACCAAAATACAAATAACCCACAAGAAAAAGTAAGAAGTATATGGAGGTTATAATTCTTAATAGAAAGAGACTCCTACATGTCAGTAAGAAAAAACTTGACCATAAGGACTGCCAAATCTGAACAAAATACATCAGATAAGAACTAAAAATGGCCATGAACACGAGGACATATTCAACATGACCAGACACAACACTTATTTGCCTATCAAATTGTTAAAGAGTTATTTTAATCTTGAGCACATGTCCATTGCCAACATTACTTGGCATCTGCAAAGAGGCCTTTTCCATGCTGTCATCCTGCCCTTCTGGAGGGCAGCAGGTACCCAAAGCTTCACACCTGGCATGAACTCTGACCCACTCACTCTACCTATAAGAACTGAGCCCAAGGCAGTAATTGTAATCATGGCAGTGTAAACGTGCATCTGGGCTCACTGCAGTCCTGTTGAAACAACGCTGATGTACGGCAATACAGCAAATACTACATTTACTCATGGCACACTTGTAAAATACAGCCACTGAAACATGTAGAAGAATATATGTAATAGATTTTAAAGTCTATAATTTATTAAGTACAAAAGCAAATTATTTAAAAAAGCACTTGATCCTAATTTTGTAAAAAATTTTTAAAAAGAAAAAATAAATCCCTGAGAGGGTTTATGTTACATACGAATGCTGCTGTTTACTCAGAGGTAGAATTATAAGAAATTTTAATTTTCTTTATACTTTAATGTGCTTTCTAGATTTTATGCTATAAGCATAACTGCTTTTATAGTCAGAAAAAAAGCAAAATAAGATACAACCTATTCGGGGTAATTTAAAGACCCTTTTCACACATTTCAAAATGCAGAATTACAAAGTCAATAACTTTTATTAACATAATGATATAAAAATTTTAGTGTGATATACAGAATTCCCAGAGTAATTCTAAAACATTTTAATGCACTTCTTAAAATCTTAATTTACAAGACACCTTGTCTTACCACCACTGACCTTTCAATACAAAAAGCTGACAATTTTTGTTTGCTATAAAACTACAACATTAAGATTGGAGTTAGGTAGTTTTTTTTTTTTTTTCTTTCCCTTCCCAGCCATTCTATTGTAAGGAATGTCCATTAGACTACTTCCCAAACCTCTGTATGTCAACAATAAGTTACATAGATTCTGTACATACTTACAACAGGATTATTAGAATTCCAGTATGTCACAACATACTTTACCACAGTCCAACACCATGGGGAAACAGGGCTACTATGCACAGTGCTATTTGTAGCCAGACAGGAGTAAAACATGAGAGCTGGCCCAGTTAGCCAGACTCATGTGTGGAGAATTAATAACAGCTTTGTTAGGCACTGATCCAGACTAATTCTGGAAAAACCTGGTTGTTTCTGTGAAGCATGCATGATTCACAAAATTTGCCACCCTCAATACCCCAAAAACCCAACAATTTCGTAACATACTCTTCATTAGCTATATAAAAATAATCTATGTCTTAGATTCGTGCTTGACTTCAAATTCTTAGAAGTAACTAAAGGACTTTACATTCTCTTCTTTGATTTAGGTTCTGTATAATTTTAGATCACTCAGCTTAGTCAAGTTTGAACAAAATAATAAAATGGTTTGGCCAAATTTTATAGGCACACAACTCAAAATGCAAAAAGCAGTGAAGAATGTAACCATCTCCACCTTCAATACGGGGCAATGCTGTTCCCTGCTCCCCTCAACTGTACTGCCGGTACTCACCAAACAGCACTATGGATATGAAAACCTTAGACTTTACCACAATGCTTCCAAATCTGCTGACTTGGAATAAAAATAATAAATCAGTACACTTCCACGAGAAGAATTAATATTGTAGTGTTAGGAAAACTAGCAATTTAACTAAACAGCATCAAGTTACAAACCAGGAAAGTGATTTAAAACTAAATGCTGGCTTATCTTTCTGAAACAAAGCATCTAAATTTGACAGTCCAAAATGGCACTTATTGAGTGTCCGTGACAATACATGCTGACAAGCAGCACACCTCTTTTTTGTTTTTTTAAGACGGCATCTCGTGCTGTCACCCAGGCTGGAGTGCAGTAGCGTGATCTCGGCTCACTGCAAGCTCCGCCTCCCTGGTTCATACCATTCTCCTGCCTCAGCCTCCCAAGTAGCTGGGACTACAGGCGCCCACCACCACACCCGGCTAATTTTTTGTATTTTTAGTAGAGACAGGGTTTCACCATGTTAGCCAGGATGGTCTCGGTCTCCTGACCTCGTGATCTGCTCGCCTCGGCCTCCCAAAGTGCTGGGATTACAGGTGTAAGCCACCGTGGCCAGCCAGCACACCTCTTTCAATAAAGGAACTGGCAGAGGAGGCACTGTGTGTGACCACAGTGCCCTCTGTGAGCAGGGAGGATGGGTCCAGCTTGCTTCCTTTTTCCATCAGCCTCCCTGTGAAACAGAAGTGAGGCAGCTGGTTTGTACTCTGCTATCTTCCCAGAATCAAGTTTCTCCCCGTAAATGGTCTCAAGTTTCTCCCGTAAATTCTATATATGAACTTGTCATTTGAAGTGGGAATAAATAACTGAATTTTAAAAATCAGGAACTATATTTTTAGCCTAAAGAAAGTGCAAACTTGCAGTACAGCAGAGAACAACCTCGGTGCCTGTGATTCCTCACAATGCCCATGCCAGGCCTTTCCTTTCCTTTCCTTGTCTCTCCATCTGTTAAAATACCAGCATCCGTGTTTTTGTAAATGTACTTGGCAGATTCAAAATATTTCTTTAAATAATTCAGGAAGTGCTTTCTAAAAGGAGATGCGGGGATTGTTGAGAGGGATCTGTAAGAGCACAGGAAGGGCGAGTCCCGGTGAGTGAGCTCTGCGGTGTCTTCCCACATCACACCTTGGACTGCTGGGGCTCATTCATCTCCGGCACCTGGGCCGGTGTGCTGCGCTCACATGTTGTAGGCGACATAGATGGGGTCCAGCTGGTCAGCCAGGAAGCCGTCCCGCAGGTGCATGCGCTGCTTCTCACCCCGAGAGTTGATAGGGATCACCCCTGGGTCCACGATGACCACCACTCCCACGACCAGGTAGTGCTCCTCCAGCACCACGTTGGTCACCAGGGCCACCAGGTCCAGGGCATCCTGCTCTAGCCCATCCAGCTCCACCACCACCACCAGCAGGTTGGTCCAGGTGAATACGGCACTGCAGAGAGAAGACAGACTGGGTCACATGGATACAGGCACAGGTCACAGGGGCCAATGAATGCTTGGGAAAGGGTGGCACAAAGAAGAGTGAAGCCCACCAATGTCACACAGCTATTTAAGGCCATTTACAATCTAAAGATCAGGCCAGATCCATTTTACAGGATGTCTATTCCAACTAAAGCTTTTACTGAGAATCAGAGCATTATCTGATGCTGAAAGCTGTACCTGTCCCAACACAAGTTCCCTACAGGTGAAGGAATCAGGAGTCACAACCATGTGAGAAACTCATATTAAAAGTAGAAACACTTCAGGATGAGACCTGTGGAAATCTACATTTTGCCTGTGCATTTGGGGACAATCTCTTAGCTTACCACTGATAAGGAAACAGATAAAAAAACAAGCCAAACCCAAACACAGGCAGTGAGGTGTGCTCTGGCACCATGTTTTGCAGAGTACATCCAGAGGGAGAACCCACAAGAAGTCCTCAGCCCTCTCTGGCAATGCCCAAGGTAGATAGGGCTCATCTACATGGCACCCAGCTCCACTGCAGACCAGGGTGACAATGCAGGAGGCCTGTGCCCAGGGCCCAGCAGTCCTTGCTCTGCTCCAACCGATGCACAGCACTCATGCCCAGAGGAAGGGCTGGAGGGACCACGTGAAGCCGCCCTCCACCTGGGCTCTTACCACTCAGCGATGCTCCTGTGTGCTCGGATGACAGAGGTCTCAATGTCGATGGGGTGGTACCGCATGCCTCTGAGCTCCAGAGTTTCATCCAGAGACCCAACCACATACAGTGCATCGTGCCGCCCTGTGAACAGTGTGTGTTTACACGTGCCCAGAAAGCCAAGGCATGCAGAGTCTGGACATTCGTATCCTCTGAGCCCAACCAGGGGCTCTCAGGCACAGGGAGGTCTCAACTGAAACATCATGAGGTCGCACACCACGTGCAGAAAGGGTGATGGAGGTCCTGGCAGAGCAGGCTGTTATCTCTGCAGCACGGAACCACCTCAGGAAAGTTACAGCAAGTGTGAGCGTATTATTAAAAATAACTTATCTCTGTGAACGGGACACCATCTATAGGAGCTACCAAAAGTTCTGCCTTATCTGGCCAGCTTGTGGTGGCTGCACAGAGTCCTCTGGACATTGACCACAACCTTAAATGGGTTGTGCATGGGGAAGCCACTGGTAAAGACACAGCGGCAGAGAGACCGGTCTGGCCTCGGGGAGAAGCCTGGTAGCCTTATCACCAACACCGTCCCCCACGCCCTCAGCAGAGGCCAAGGGCCCAAGGACAGTGAGGGGCAGTCATGGAGGGAAAACAGTATTTTCAGAGAAAACTGCTGTCAGAACATCTTCCCCCCACAAGGAGCAATACCAGACCACAGCAAGGAGTGAGGTGTGCTAGCAGGTGACTAAGCTCTTGGGGAGCCCAGGTCCTCCCCGCACAGCACTCACGCAGGGCTTCACCACAACCCCTCACCTCCACTGGCATCAGTGAGCTCTGTTCGCCGAAGGAAGCCAAGGTAGCCGGTCCTTGCCCAGATGGTCTGTGTGTCTCCAAAACTCAGCCGGGCACTGAAGTGGTCGGCATGAAGCGCCTCCTCCCCGTAAACGGTGTAGTACCCGGTGGCATTGTGGGGGCTGCTTACCCAGATCTGGTGGGCCCAGAGGACAAGAATGTGATGTGTTACCAACCACCGAGTTCAGATTCTGTCACGAGACATCCACTGGCCAAGAATAATGCTCCAGAAAACACTGAACGAAGTCGGGGCGGATAATATTCATTGTCTCTTATTTTATGAACTAAGTTAAATTACAGGCACAGAAAGCAAACAGAACTTTTCTCTCCTTAAATACTGTGTTTCTTCCTTTGACCCAAGAATGTCATCTGTAGGACTCTATCCTACGTGGGTAAGTCGAGAGGGGCAATTCCACCTTCCTCACATCCAACTATTGTTGGTAATAAGAGAGGGCCGGGAGCAACCCACATTCCACAACAGGGACAGGCTGAAGGAATGAGGGTTCTTACAGAGTGGAGAGCGTGCAGCTGCTCAGACTCACAGTAAGACAGAGGCCCTGAAAACAGACGGCACATCCCAGGGTTAACGTCAGCCCCACGCGCGTGTGTGTGCGTCCGCTATCCGTGTTCACGTGTGTGTATCCACCTGTCCACGTGTTTGTGTGCACCCTCATATCTACACACGTAAGCATTTTGTGCATCCATGCAGAGACCAAGGGACCAGAGGCCTGTGCCTGCAGGACCAAGTGTCATGGGGCCCTTCTAGAGAGAGTCCGTCCAGAACCCACGGTCAGTTCGACTGGCTCTAAGACGCCCCTGCATGGCAGCGTCTGAAAGAGGAGAACGGGGTGGCCAATAGGGGCGTTTCCCTTGAGCATCTGCCACAAGGGTGGGTCACCATGCCTGGCTCAGACTCTCCATTTCTTGGGGGTACACCCTTGACTTACAGACCTGGGTTTGGCTGTGCAGGAAGTGGGACGGTTGAGGGGAGGGTCCCTCACACCAGCCACACTCAGGGTTGGGACCCAGGACACCTTCCCATCAGGACACGGTAAGACCACCTGAGGGCCCGCACGCTCACACCCTTGTCCCAGTCAGGAGAAGCCAGCTGAGGCTGAGTGATTTCCCTCTGGGCACGGCTTGCTGGAAGCCCCCAGTCTGGCTTCACAGCAGAGCTCACAAATGATGCCTGTGCCCGCCTGGTTTGAAGACATCAATTTGACAGCACATTCCCCAAGAGGATAGGACTAGGAACGTGAGTCCTTATGCTCCCATGACAACAGATCAATCTGCACATTCGGGACTGCACGTCAAGCTGCCACCACTGCCTGTAAATAATGAGTCATGCCTGTCCCAAATTACAGCAAGATGTACGTGCAATACATGTAGACATTTCAACCCAACGGATTCCTGTATAGCCTCTGTGTTCTCAGGGAGACCCGCACCCTCCACTGTGTCCTCAGGACAAGGGCTCTGAGCTCCCCAAACCTCCCAGCTGCAGGTGGAGGCCCTGAACTCTTCTGGTGCAGAGTTCCCTATTGCCAGTTCCCCGTGTCTGTGCTCCTGCCTGGGTGCCAGGGACCACGTTTACGTAGCAGCTGCTGGGTCCTGCACAAGGTAGCTGTTTTCCACACTGCCACTGGTTCCTGTGCAGCTCCTCTCACCTGTCAGTGCCCTCAAACCTAGGGGTTCCCCTCTCTTGGTTAGGTCAACCTAGGGATGAGGCAGTTTGTCCCACAGTACCCCAAAATCCTACATAGGAACTGGGTCTGGGAGGTACACGGGGCAAGGGCCAAATGGTTTCTGGTAGATTCCCAAAGGCAAGTTTAGAATTCCAAAATCTGAAGCAAAAAGGGAAGGAAGGTGAAGCTGGTGAGGCTGGAGAGCTCAAGCCCCTCCCATGGGCCCCTGCTCACCTCTCCCAGGTGTGAGTCTCCCAAGGGTCCTTTGGTCTCGGTGTGTGCGATGATGACCTTCACGCCGGGGAGGATCTGGAAGGAGGAGAGCTATGTCCCTTGTTAAAGAAAACATGACACGAGACTCTCTTGATTCAGTGACATTAAAATAACGTCCCTCAGAAGCTGGCCTGCAGGACTGATGTGCTCATGTCAGGTCAGGAAGTTTAGAGGCCGCTCCAAATTTGACTTTGAATTTTGAAAGAAATAAGAGATGTTAATAGAAATAAGCAAAATGACTCCAGTTCCTGAGAAGGGATCCCGTCTCTGGGTGTCAGGAGGGGCAGAGGGTCACTAAGCCTACAAAGACAATCAGCCAGGTGATGCCAGCGCACCTGATGGGCATCCATCCAGGGGTGCAGTGACCCTGCTGTGCCCAGCCCTGCAGGAGGCACATGTCTGTCCTAGTTCTTGGCCAGGAACCTGACCATGAGGAAGTTCTTCCTGCCCGTGACTCCGAGTCAGTCCAACCACTGAGCACTGGCTCTGTGCCAATTCAGGACGGCAAGAGGCCACCATCTCTTACCTGGCCTCCCAGGCCCGGTCCCAGTGTTCCCTCACTGGGCTCAGGTCAGACCACCTGACTGCACAAGGCCTGGATGCTTGTTCTGTGTCCTCAGTTTCCTCACGTATGAAATGGGGGCAATGACACTGCAGGCTCAGGGCAGGCAAGAGGAGGGGACGACGGGCCACAGGGAGGTGTGAGCTACGGTTACCGCCAGACCCTCCCCGGCGGAGTGGGACTGTTCTGTTTCCCCAGATGCTGTTGGAGCCTCCATCTTCTCCCTGCATGTCCCAGCTGAGCCCCAAAACCAGAGCTCTTTCCAGGACACAAACCTATCAGGCCCAAGTGATTGTAACAGCAAAATAGGAAAGAACGTCCAATAAAAGGGGGTGAGCTAAACAATTACAGTGCGGCTGTACATGGCAGGGCAGGGAAAAGAGCGACGTGGAGGCCCCATGACCCAGGGAAACCCGCTGAGTTTACACCAAGGATGATGCAGAGCTGTGTGCGATGGCGGCTCACATGTCCCTGTGCTCAGAGAAGGGAGGACGTGCAGCAGCCCACGGCTCCCACAGATGTGCTGTCCACTAAGCTCACCCGACTCCACTCTCGGCTGGTCTACCGCCTGAAGTGACTGTAACAGGGGACACGGGAAGGGAGCTTTTCAAGCCCCTGCACCTGCATGTGAGTTCACTCACTCACGCACTCCTTCTGCTCCCCACACTCAGCCCAGTCCCACTGGCCTCCCTGTAGCTCCCACCTCGAGACCCTCACAGCAGCTGTGCCTTCTGTCCGCAGTCTCACCCCTGCTGCCCTGCAGGAGTCTGTATCCTGGACATCACATGGCTTGGCTGGGTCCCTCTCTGGACCCCTCTCTGACTCCCCACAGGTGGCTGTGGCCATGGCAGTGAACGGAGTCAGGGTGGCCAAGCTCCTTCCCTTGCCTCTGCGGTTGTGAAGGCACCAGGGTCCCCGACTCATATCAAGCCTGGCTTACTCTTCATGCTGCCTTCCTGGGCTGTGTGGCTTTTCCTCCTTCCTTTGAACCCTTCCTGGTTCAGAGGATGCTGTTCTGTGCCTATGTCTGCTGACCTCTTGCAGCATCTCAGTTTTTTCCTGGGAGTCCTCGGGCCATCTCAGGATCCCCCAGATCCCCGACAGGGTCTGGGGGCCTCTTCCCTGCTGACACCCTAAACTAGGGCATGAGATTTTGCCATCTCCAACTTAGGGCCAGGGCCACTCCATTTAACTCTAAATGTGTGGGTGGGCCGGAACCCCCCTCCATGGCCCTGGCCCCAGAGGCCTGAGGCCTGCCACCCACCCAGCGGGAGTTCTTTATTCCTGCACCTGAACTTCTCCCTTTCTTGGCTTTGAGCTCAGATGTGTGTTTAAAAACATAACTAAGTAATTCTATATACCAGCCACAAAGGAGGGAAGGAGACTTCTGCAGCAGCCGAGCCCACCCCAACCAGAAGTCGACCTGTGTTCATCAGAGCCGCAGCCCCCAGCACCCTCCACGGGGTGATGCTTCAGACAAAGGTCTCAGACGCGACTCAGAATGCACGCGTCTTGGTTTCCACTACCTTTCCAGACTCCATCAATGGCAGGCTGTGCGGAGAACCCCGTTCTACCAAACGAACCCTAAAAATTAAGGGAACAATTTCAGTACAAAATTTACTACACAGGTAGTAATGTCTGAAAGGGCAGATCATGACGTTGGAAATGATCACTCTGAGGGTCTGTTGACAACAGTCAGGATGTCAACCTTTCCACAGCACACCTGCCATGAATGGCAGGGACACCCCAACCACGCTGCGGTCCCAAGTGCCGCCACCCGCATGCACTCGCCACCCACCCCATGTGCTCACAGCAGCTCACTCTACATTTCGTTTAGGTCCTCCCTGAACCCAGCAAGCCCCTGGCACCCAGTAAGCTAAACCTAGTGTTTACATCAAGCTACAGTGTGGCCATACTTGAGAATCCAGGACTGGGATCTGAGCTTCAAAGCTGGGAGGGGCCCTGATACACATCTGACCACAGACCAGCAAGCACACACTGTATGCACCACCATCGTTCATCAAGATGAAACTAAGTCAGATCCTATGACAGCATCAGGTAAGAAACGTTCTTGCCAGTAGATGGATAACTTGTCTTCTATCTGTCCCTATCCCTCTAAAAACCAAATGTCACATGGGTCATCGGGTAAGAAACGTTCTTGCCAGTAGATGGGTTACTTGTCTTCTCTCTGTCCCTGTCCCTCTAAAGAACCAAATGTCACAGGGGCCACTCTTATTCTTCCTGGTTGTGTGACAGATAAAGGGATGTTAACTGCAGCCCTGGGGACACGGGCGCACAGAGATAGACACTGAGCTCCCCTGGGAGGCACGCCCGGAGTGGGGCACACAGCTCTCCTCTTCCTCTTGGTGCAGATGGCCCAATGTAGCCAGCTGTCCTCTCATGTGCCCATCCAGGTGTCCCGGTAGGCCTGACTTGGCCCCGCCGTCCTCTAATGCCTGGGTCCCGGGGGTGCATAGTCAGTGCAGACCTGGTTTGCATCACTTTGCCACTGGGTATCCATGGGGCCCAGGCAGGCTGGGAGCATTACCTGTCATGGCGCAGTGCCCGCATGTCCACGTAGACGGTTGTGGGGTCCGGGCCAGCTGTGCCCTGGAAGGAGAGCAGCAGAGGAACTTCTGTTCAGGGGCCTCACTTAACATCTTGTTTCTACAGGTACAGCTGCATGGCAGCTCCTCCCTGGCCCCCGGGGACACCCAAGAAGGTAGCAGCTCTGCTCCCTGCAGTGAGTCCGCCTAGGGGTTCAAGGTCCCCCAGGCAGTCTGATGCTTTCCATCCAAACATCCACAGAGCTTGATAATATTGAGCGAAACACTCAATGACTCTGAAAACACCAAATCATGCCACTTTACATTTCAGTTCTAACAACTTTCTATTCCCACTGGTCTCTTGCTGTGATGAAAACACCATTAGGATTTGAGGGGCATTTCCACCATGCTGTCAGGCAGGGCCTTGCCTCTCACCAACCAGCCTAATTCTACCGGGGACTGCTCGCAGCCGAGACTCACTCAGGTGAGATGGATGGCAGCCTTCACCTTTCTACTCTCTTCCTTTCTGAATCTTACAGTTAACATTAATCCCGACTAAAGGACATTATGTGTCATTTTATTCAATAAGGAACATCAATTAAATGAGTACTCTGATCAACATCACCCTTAAAGATCCCAGACAACATAACCTGTGTCTGCACTGGAATTAAACACCTCTGCACTGGAACTAAACACAGCCCTTCCTCCCAAGGCAATGCTATGAGCATTAACATTTTTTGAAAATAGTTTTACTTTTAAATTTGGTTACAAGGGAGCTTTTGTAATATGTCAAGTAATATCCACTGTGAACAAAGTAAGACAGCAAAAGAAACATGTTTGTCTAGAATTCACGAGAAAGTCACATGAACTCATGGGAGGGGGAAGCACAGAGGCACCAACAAGGTCAAGGTCAAGGTCATACCTGCTCAGCCAGCTTTCCCAGCCTGTTGGGCTGACAGAGGCCAAGGAGGCAGCAGAGTGAGACAGGGAGGAGACAGCCACAGGAAACACACACAGAAGCAGCAGCCACATGAGAAACACAGGGAAAGAGAGAGCAAAACCCACCTCTGTATCTTAAAGAGCAAACGTGAACATCCCATTAACATCATTTCTGCAATCATGTGTGGCATCCATACCCTTCCGACGTCTAGCAAGGAGGCCCCAGGCTTGCAGACGCAGAGCCGCTAACACAAAGGCCGGCACCCACGCTCAGCCACAGCCTACACAGGAAGCGAGCTCACAAAAGGCTCCCGCCCGATCTCCTCTGCTGCGTGACAAGGGTCTGAGGCTTGAGTGGTCAGGGGTCTTTTTGTGGTGAAGAGGGTGTGAGCAGAGCCCCCGCCCTGCCCTGCGTGCACTGCCACTGTGATGGGGAGGCACAAGGCCAAGCAAACACTTTGGAAACAGAGACAGACCTGCACTCAGCCCTGCTCTGGCACGGACAGGTGCCATTTCCTTCCAGCTATTCTTGTACTATGTGGGTGAATAAGGCGTTCAATATGTAGGGTTATCTAAAAAGCCATTTGGTTTTAAGATGTTTTTAGAAAGAAATGAAATTGAGATACTAGTACAAAATCTGGGCAACAGCTGTAGCTATCTGAGGAAGCAATAAACAGAACTGCCGTGAGCTCTTCAATCTCTGAAACTTGGTGCTACCTATGTTTTTTTTTTTTTTTTTTTTTTTTTTTTGAGACAGGGTCTCGCTCTGTCACCCAGGCTGGAGTGCAGTGGTGAGATCTTGGCTCGCTGCAACCTCCTCTTGCCAGGTTCAAGCGATTCTTGTGCCTCAACCTCCCAAGTAGCCGGGACAACAGGCGCGCACCACCAGCCAGCTAATTTTTGTATTTTTAGTAGAGACGGGGTCTCATCATATTGTCCAGGCTGGTCTCGAATTCCTGACCTCAGGTAATCCGCCTGCCTCAGCCTCCCAAAGTGCTGGGATTATAGGCATGAGCCACCACTCCTGGCCTGAAACTTGGTGCTTCCTTTTAATAAGACATTTCATGGTTTCAGAAATGAATTTGAGTCAACACAAATTACCACATTTATTAATGTTTCAATTTAATATTGCTAGATATCTTAAAACAGTAAGTTCAATCTTGCTTTAAGAACTTAGCTGTGTTTTATATCTAACTTAGAGAGTCTTACAGTTATTAGTCACTGTTCAAAAACAATGTGTTTTTTTTCCAAATAAGCCTTTCTCCAACTAGAATAGAACATCTTTAAAAATAAAACCCTTGAAGCTAAAATGTTACATGGAAATGAGATATCAAAGGCCCAGAGAAGGAGAAATAGATCAGGCGGCTACAAAACGGCACATTAACAACTGGGAAACTGGGTCTCCATGCTGCCAACAGCCAGCTTTCGAGAACCGCAGCCCCAGGCACCTCACCTGGAGGCAGATGGCCACGTTGACCCTGCACCCGAACGTGGTGCTTACGGCGCGGGCCGGCAGGCCCAGGTCCTTGAAGAGCTTGGAGAAGGACTGGGTCAGCGCAATCCTGGGCCGCTCCTCGGCGACCACCATGCACGTGCGCACACATGACAGGTTCACCCCCTTCATCTGCGGGAGGGGTGAGCGGTCAGGCCACGGCCACAGCTCAGTGAGTTGCCAGGGCCCTGGGCACTGTTTTGGGAAATCTCCGGGTGGGCACACAGAGGTGGAGCTGGACACCAACCTCCTCTCCGCAGGCTGTGTCTGTTCCACAGAATCCTACGTGTGGATGCGCTAAACGATTCCCATCTGACCTGCATCCCACACCTGCCCTCCCACGCGGCCAGACTTCCACCCCGCTATCTCGCAGGGACCCTGCCCTACCCCCCACCCTCCTCTCCTGCGGGGTGTGGAGCTGCAGAGACAGGTGGGCCGTGGGAGGACAGATGTGTACATAGGGCCCCTAGTGGGAAAGGGTTTTCTCTACTTCCTCCAACTGCAGGGAGGGGCCTTGGGAGTCTTGTTTTGTTTTGTTGTTTTTAAACTTCCCAGGGCTGTGGTCTGCAGCACACTCAGAAGCCCGGGTCTGGGCACTCACCCTGAGGACACCCGTCTGTGCGCCTAGGCCCTTGGTGCACATCTCCATCACAGAGTAGGAGCAGAAGGTGACGCGGGCCTTGTACTGGCTGACGGCCGACAGCCACAGGGACACGTTGCTCTCCAGCTCCAGCGGGGGCACCAGCACTGATTGGTGTCCCGAGTAGACACTGCGAGAGGGAAGGCTCGTGAGGCTCCGCCCGCCCACCCAGCACCCTGGGCACTCCACTCTTCCCTTCCTCAAGAACACTTCTTTTCCAGCCACAACAGGGGCATGATTTCTGTTCTGACGCCAAGTGGGGGGGTTTGGTGGAAAACATGCCACAGGGTGAAGGTTGGGGGATGGCAGGCACGGGGTTCTGAGCTCTGCTCCGAACACTTGGAGAGGATCCGGGGACACCACTCCAGAGGCATTCACTTCTAGAGACGGATCGCCACTTTCTAGTGTTTGAAGGAATCAAGCAGATTCTTCCCAAGTACTGATAACGGACAGTGTATTTAATGAAAAATGTATTTTCACTCAATTTCAGACTCAGACTCCAACCCACTTCATCCCCAAACAAACCCACTCACACACATCTCATCGGCTTCCTGAGCACCCAGAAAAGGTGCCTTAGAAGGCCAAGGTTCCTAAGAGCCACACGAGCTGCTCCCACCTGGCAGGCAGCAGGGGCCCTGCACTCACCTGCACAGACACCACAGGGCAAAACCAAGGCCACAGTAGGGGTCGAGGCAGATGGCGATCTGCCGCGAGGGGTACAGCTCACACTGCAGCTTTATGGAGCGGCATAAGGCGCTTGTGGCCGCGTGCGACATCTTAAGAGTAAAATAAAGTTCAAAAAAAAAAAGTGAAATGAAATTCAGGAGGGGAGAGGGTGGATGGCAGTGTCCGCTGTTCACATGGCTAGACCATAGCTCCGAACTACCAAACATCATATTTATTTCCTTAAAAGACGGTTGGCTCAAATCCCCATATAACCTAAATAATACCCAAGAAATGGTACACTAAAAATCTTTGAAACAAAATTTCAGGGTAATGAATTTTTAAAATTTTTTTCTTTTTTTTTTTTTTGAGGCAGAGTCTTGCTCTGTCGCCCAGGCTGGAGTGCAATGGCACAATCTCGGCTCACTGCAACCTCTGCCTCCCGGGTTCAAGCAATTCTCCTGCCTCAGCCTCCTGAGTATCTGGGATTAGAGGCACCTGCCACCATGCCCAGCTAATTTTTTGTATTTTTAGTAGAGACGGGGTTTCACCACGTTGGCCAGGATGGTCTCCATCTCTTGATCTTGTGATCCACCCGCCTCGGCCTCCCGAAGTGCTGGGATTACAGGCGTGAGCCACCACGCCCCGCCTGAAAAATTTTAATTGAGCTATTGACTCCCAGCAAGGTAAGAGATTCTTCAAAGCCACCAGTTCCTGTAAGCTAGACAGTCATAAATCAGAAAGTTTAGACATAACCATAATGCATCAGAAAACGCATTACTCTCAGGCTAATCACATCTTAGCATTTATTGGTATTTAACACAAATCTTAAGAAGCAAAATTGTTGCTTTGTGCTTTGCATAAGAAGGACCTGTCAGTTTAAATCTGCATCTGACATCCTTTCTGTCCACTCCTCCTGATTTCTAGGGGCTGAAGCAAACAAGATTTCAGAGGACCTACCTTCACTCCCGCTAATATCCCAGTGGTTGACACGCTGAAGTCCAAGTATGCGAGGACATCGGGGGAGGGGGGCCTGAAAACGCTTGCTATCTTCTTTTTTGGGATGTCATCTGTTAAACAGGAGACACCAGCAACATTAGTGTTCCCACATGTATTCTGAACGCTCTGGGCTTTCACAGGCAAGAGGCGACACATGATTTGTCCTTGGGAGTCCTGCAGAGAGTGAGCTCAGACGGGAGTGGGGCCGTGACGATGCAGGCTGTGCGTGCTCAGGAAAGCGTATTTCATTCTTCATGGAAACGCTACCCGGTCCCACCAAGACCACACTGAGCCTGTGGGGATGGGGGACGAGGCAGGGCGAAGAGGGGAGGCATCACGTCACTGACCAGTAGGAAAGATTAGAGGACTAGGGATTTGCCAAAAGTCACAGAGCCTATGGCAAAGCCCAGATGAGCCGAGTCCCGACCACAGCAAGAATAGCTGTGGACGGGCTCTGGGTTCTGCGTGCTTCATCAAGTTCTCGTGGCCCCATGAGCCAGACACCACTGCCTCCCTGGGTGCAACTGGACACAGGCTCAGCAGGGCAGGCACCGCTCCCCTTGAGGCAAGCCCGTGAGGCTTTGGGGCCCTGGCCAGCTGTTTGGCTCTGAGCCTGCCCTCCCCTACACCAGCTGCCCTGGCCCAGCCCCATCCAGCCCAGGCTGAGACAGGTCCACGGCAGAGGGGAGCCAGGGGGGTTTCTGACCCTCACCCTGTTGGCCCTCAGCATTTCATGGGGCATGACAGCATTCACCAATGATGGGGACAGGGATGCTGGAGTGGCGGCATGCGGTGGGAGCTGTGTCCTCAAAGCGTTTGCAGAAAGCCTCAGAGAGCTGCCAGCCCCCATGCCAGTAGGAGGCGGGTGAGAGGGGCAAGGCTGTGCTCCACACCACTTGGGACTGGGTGCGGCTGCTGTGGGCTGAGTGGAGCGTGGGTTTACACATGGGACAGGGACCCCTACTCCCCACCAGGGCCCGGGGCACCCCCTGCTGTCAGCCAGGCTCCTGCCAGGACTGCTCTTGCCTCACGTGTGTTTTTGGACGGCAGCCAGGCCACACCACACCTACAACAAAGAAAGGAAAAGGGACTGGTCCTGGGCAGTGCGAGGACACGCACCTGTGTCTAGGATGGTGGGCCAGGTCCTGATGTCCACGGCAGCAGCAGCCTCCTTGGACCTGAGCAGCCGTGTGACAGCCTGCGTGGTGAGGACGCATGCAGACTTGCTGACCTGCATGGCGAGGGGCCAAGGGTGGGTGGGCGGGGCCTCTCAAGCTGCCCAGAAAAGGGGGCAGCGGAGGGCAGCCTTGCAGCCTCCCACTCACAGACTCTGACCCGCGGGCCAGGTAGGCGCACCTCCACGATCATCTTGACGGTGGGCAGTGTGGTGCCGAGGTTCTGAGGGTGCGGGGGCCGCACGGTGACAGGCACGCAGCCACAGTACAAGCAGCCATAGAACGCGGCAATGAGGTCCACCCCTGTGGAGACAAGGACTGGCTGTGAGGAGGCCGGCCGCAAGAGGCTCCCACCAGCCTCTGTTCACTGTTCCTGCGAGAGAGGAGGGGAGGTGGTGCTGGGGGGGCATGGGTGACTCCTGGGTTTCCACAGGGGTAGCTGAGCTGAGGAGGCAGACACATGCAGAGAGGAGGGGCTGAGCTTAGTTTTGGAAGATGCTTCGGGGAGGGAGTGTCTAGGGGGCTGCTTAGGATAGGAGGCTGCTTACAAAGAGCTGCAGGTGGACAGCCCCACAGTGAGCCCACCTGGTGGGTAGACCAGAGCCACATGGTCCCCAACACTCAGTCTTCCCTTCTCCATCAGAGCCGCGGCCACTCTCTCAGCCCTTTTGTGCAGCTGGACACAGGTTGCAGTGCTTGTGACGGTGCCCTAGGAAAGCGATCTTTGAGCTCATCTGTATGCTGGTGCGTGCAGGTGGGCTGTTCGCAGATCTGCGTGCACACCACCTGCACGCCACTGCACACGACACCTTGTGATTAGCGTCCATGATAATGACAATGTGTCAGTCCTAGACGTACGGCTGGTGTCTTTTTTTTGGTAGAGATGGGGTTTCACCATGTTGGCCAGGCTGGTCTCGAACTCCTGACCTCAAGTGATCTGCCCGCCTCAGCCTCTCAAAGTGCTGGGATTACAGGCATAAGCCACCGCACATGGTCCACGACTGGTGTCTTTTCTCACCATCTGTACTCTCTCACTAGCAGTGAAGGGACAGGCATGCAAGTATCTCCTGTGTGGTCCCAGCTAAGAGGGAGAGATGCGGGCACTCCATTCACCCAGGGCAGAGCCAGAAACACGTGGGTAAAGAAGACCTTTCTGGCCTTTTCAATAAAATATTCCATACGACACCATTATAAATACATAATAAGCGATAAGCAAACATCCCTGAATTGTACTACTTTCCATGCCCACAGGTCACCTGCACTGAGCCTGGGCGTGTGTCATCTGCAACCGGCTTTCTCAGAGGCATCTGTGTGTCTCCTCTAGGACTGACTACACCAGCTCCTTCATTCACCCTGTCTCTCTGCTGAGGGGCACTGGGGCTATGTGACCAGTTCAAGGCAAACAGAAATACCTGGTAACCCTACCTCTCTGCTCAGGACACTCATCCTCCCTGATCCCCTGCCAGGCCTCGCAGCTTTTTTAGTCCTTCTTAAGAAGATAAAAAGTGCAATTCAGTCTAATAAATATAAAACTCCAGAGCAGACCAGTGTAACATCAAAACTCCCTGTTTCTCGATTGGTGGCTTCTACTGACAGAAGGCAGTGGAAGAGAGAGACCAGTGGACGCACTTATGTGCTGTGTCCAGGCACAAGGGCTGGGCAGATCCTGAGATTCCAAATCCCGGAAGCTTTGCCAGTCCATATGAGTCAGGGCCCCATCAGGACAGAACCTGAGATCTGGACTGGGACTCAAAGCCCGCAAGGTCTGGGATCCCACTGCATCCTTAGGGAAAACCCAGCGACCCCCAGCCTTATCTGCATCCCCTACCTGGGACCACCTGGCCCCCACCACACTGGCCTCCTTTCCTGCCTTGAGCCACTGGGCATCATTCTTCATAGCCCCTGCTACCCAGTTCCATTCAAAGCCCCCTCCCCAGCACTCCAGGTTACATCACTCCACTGTATTGATACTGAGGTTCACACCATAAGCTGATTTTACCTTGGTCAATGATAAATCACTGGCTGGTTTGTAGGCTTTAGAACTCAATCAATCATAAAATAAATGTTTACTGGGCATGGTTCTAGATGCTTCCAATACACCAGAAAAACAAAGTCTCTCTCCTACGGAACTTGTTTTCTAGCAGGAAAGACTGATTTTAAGCCTCCTGAGAGTAGGGGTCCTTTTAATCTTATTACTGTGCACTGTGCACATTGTAGGCATCATTAAGTATTTTTTTAATTCGAATGAGCAGCACCAAGAGCTAGAAGAGCATATTCTAAGCCACAGTGACCTACTCTTTACGACACCAAAGCTTAAGAGTTCTTACAGCTTGTATGGTGCGTGGGACAGGAAGCCTTGCAGGGTTTTAAGTTATTTAACTTTCTGTGTTTCCGCATTTCGCATTCCTGCCCACAACCTGAATATGAAGATTACAGCTTCTCCTTCTTGACATCCTGAATGTTCCTAGCACAGTGGAATGCACACAACAGGAACTTGAAACACATGAGAATTTCCAAATCAGCAGCAGGAGCAGGGCAGGAAGCAACATTTGTCATTTAAAAGCTGTAACCAAATGTAGAAATTCTAAATGGCTAATTTTTTACAAAATAAACATTTCCTTTTAGCTCACAAACTTAGGAATATTTACATGTATACTGTTTTTAATTTTAAAAACTTGAGCTGATAAAAATTTTCCTGCTAAACACAAAATCAATAGAAATACTATTGTGTGAAATGTGTGGAAAACAAGAAAGGAAAGGGCAGGCAGCGAGAACCGCACCAGACAAGGGGGCTGAGTCCACAGGCACCCTGCTCTCTACGCATGAGAACAACCAGGACGGGGGCTGAGTCCACAGGCACCCTGTTCTCTAAACATGAGAACAACCAGGACACTGGCACCATGAACTAGACAAGCAAAGGGCTCCACCGGCCCACAGGTGTTTCCAAGCCCCGTGGGCGTGACACTGCCTCACCTTGGCGTTCAGCAGCAAGAACAGCGGGTGGTCAGGAGTGGTGTGGGCACGCCACTGCAGCACGTCAGCCAGGAACAGGAACTGCACGAGAGGGCGACTTGCTCACTGGCGCCTCCGGGGCACAGACACCCGTCCACCCGTCCCCGGAACTGGCCTGTCACCTTCCGTGCCTGGTCGCTGTCCTCCAGGTGGGCGAGCTCTCTCCCGGAAGCCTGAGCGATTCTCTTCCCAGCAACCAGGTTCCCCACGATCATTGAGGCTGGTCCAACCTCTAGAAACGGGGGAACTCTGAATGAAAAGCTGGTGACTTCTCATATATAAACATCACGTGATTTTATTTACAATTTTTATTTTGAAAACATACTTGAATGAGGCATTTAACTCTTCTACTGAGATACAAATATTCAGAAAGCTAGCTACAAGGTTTATGCTAAGTGACAAAGAGAATTTCTCTCTTGAACATAAACTACGCCTTATTGAGAAGTTTACTACACGACGCATCTCAGAGGATACGATTTGGCCTCAGTCACAGCAAAATTCTTAACATATTTTGTTTTACTGTACTTTATGTATAAATCAGGAAATTAAATCTTCCTGATGAAATGTATTTAGTGATATGTGTTCAATAATTAATAAAAAAAAACTTTGGCATGTACTAAAAATCAACAGGACCAAAGAAATGAAAAATTGCATTAAAGTTAAACCAGTCTCTAAAATTAGCTTTTAAATGTATAAAATGAGGGAAGGCAAGTTGGCCGTTTGCTGAGAGATTTCCGAGGCCACACAGACACTGGGTGATGTGATGTGTCCAGCTCGTCCAGCTCCAGGATGATCCTGGGCAGCATTTCTAGCCCTAGGGAGCCATCTCCTAGCCATGCAAAGCTAAGATGCCATCCTTGAGTTTATCATTAAAATTGGTTCCTAACAGGCAGGTGGAAACCACCATGCAGGTGATGTGGTTAAGTTCCCCCATGCGTGGCTGGTTCCAGGAAGGCGGGAGGTGGCACCATTCTGGGGTGCACACTCGCTCTGGCTCTTGACCCCAGCCCCAAAGACGTGGGCAGTTGGCACTGGAGGTCTAGCAGGGCCGCACCCTAACCACAAGCACCGCTGTTACCACTGTTAGACTAGAGAGCATCCTGTTGTTAGGTTCAACTAACCTGGTTGTTTCTGACGAGGTTTGGGGAGGTTGGTAACACAGGTGTGAGGGCACATCAGCACATTACACGGGTGCAGCGTCCCTTCCAGAAAGCGCTGTTTGGTTTCAGAAATGTGAATCCCTCCGAGAGGAGCCTTGGGCAAGGTGTTGGCAGGAACCAGGGCCAGACAGTACACGCCCACCTGGTGGATGCTATCAATGGCCTGAAAGGGAAGGACCCTGTTTGGCACAGGCCCCCAACTTGAGGCTGGGGAGATGCTGGGTGGGGGACAGGAACATCCCCTCTGTGGACCTGTTCCCCAGGCCAGGAAATGGAATGCCCTCTGGACACTTTGTTAAATGAGGAAACAAGATGAAGAGAAGTGTGTGCAGTTTTCTACCATTTAACTCAGAAAGGGGAAACACACACACTGTATTTGTGTACACATGTCCACAAATCTGTGATCAGAGGCTGAGGGATGGGGCAATGAGGAGATGATGGTGAAAGGGCACAAAGCCTCAATTAGACAGGAGGAGGAAAGTTTTTTCTTTGAGATATATTGCACAGACTGGTGAATATAATAATGTACATTTCAAAATCACTGTGAGAGTGCATTTCAAATGTTCTCATCAGAAAAAAATAAATATTGAGGTGATGGATATATTAATTATTCTATATTGTATTCATAAATTATAACATCACTTTGTATCCCGTAAATACATACAGCTGTAATTTGTCAATTTGCAATGAAAAATACAGATAAACAAAGCTGGAGCCAGGGAGGACCGGGCGGGACAAGCCAACCACTTGGCACTTGGAGTGGAGTGGGGGTGCCAGCTTGGGAGATTCACCGAACCATAGGCCGTGCCGGGGCGCCCACCTGCAGCACACGGCTCATCCACTGGAAGCTGTCCTCCTCCGAGGCATCCGGCCGCTGCTCAGCCACCAGGACAATCCGGTCGTCGTGCAGCACGGTCACAGAGAACACAGCGATCCTGCGGGATGAGACATGGAAATGGCCACACGGCAAGAGGCCAAACAAGACACAGATGCATTCTCACCCTCACGATGGAAGAGGCAGACTGTCCTAGTATTTAAAATGCAGTCTATCAAATGGGGCTACCTGCTGCACATTCAAAAAGTAACTCATCATTCTAATCTCCTCGAGGATGGTTGAAATGTGTCTCAAGTCACAAAAAACAGAGGACTTCAGGACAAAGCAAAACAGCTCCAAAGACACACATTTTTACAAGAAAAAATTCCTTAATCTGATGTAAATTTCCTTCTGCACAAATCTTTGTCTAAAAGTTCTATTTATTATATTTTTTTAATCCAACAGATCGCATCTCTATTTTACTAGAGTTAGTCTATTGACATTTATAGTGATTAGTATATTTAGACGTGTTTTTACTATCTTAAAAATTTCAACATGTCCTCCTTTTTTCTGTGTTGCCTTTTCCTTCTTTTAGACTTTGAGTTGATATCTTTGTCTTTTCTTTCATAAAGTAAGAAGATGGTCTCCCCACCAAACCCATCATGTTAGGATGTCTACCATTCTGACTCTGGGACATTATGGATATACCGTCTCTTGTCCTTTCCTTTGACTTGACTGGTGTGTGTGTACACACACACACACACAATTTACACAACAGACCTCACCTAGTACTGAGTTCTCCTTACTCTCATACATCTTATAGCACATCTTGAATTTATTTCTCTTAGTATCTTGACCAAAACTGTTTTCAGTACGGACCTCTGTGTGTTAAAACTTCTGAAACTTACATGCTTAAAAATATTTTTTATTACAACTGCACAATAAAGTGACAATTTGGATAAATTGGGTGCACTGTTATCTTGTGCCAGTTCCACTGTGGGGAAGTCTGATGTGTTTTGCTTGGCTTTTGTGTGGTCCATGGTGAGAATACAGATAAGCTCAACATGCCATGGGGCCCTCTGTGGACCACTTCCCAGTCCAGAGAACCCCAACCACCTGCTTCCTCAGACAATCCCTAACCACCACTAAACATATCCCTTCTCCTTGAGTCTGCTATCTGGACACCAGCCCTTATTCTCTCCCATCTCTCTTAATAGTTCCTTTAAAGTTCCTATTTTACTTCCAGAGTAGTTCCCTAATCTGACTTTCCACCTTCTCTACTTGTTCTCTAGCTGTATCCATTTTATGTATTCCATCTACTGTGTTCTTTGAACAATTACTTTGTTAGCATTTCTTGATCTTAGTTCATGTTGCAAATCTTCTATTGCTCTTCTTCCAATGGCACATATACTCTCAATTGGTTGTGGTTCCACTTCCAAGCTCCTGTATTCCTCAGCTCTTCCCTAGTGGGGACAGGGAGGCTATCCTGCCTGCAGACGCAGTCACCATCAGGTACAGGTGGCCCTGCGAGGGGGTGGTCTCCCTGCTCCACCTCAAAGCAGGGTTTGGGCTACCTTGATGTTATCCCTAAGGACACCTGCCCAATGTGTCCCCCATTTCTGCTGTGAGGGGGGTCATGACCCTGGCTGTGCCACCCTCCCCCTGCACGCAGGCGCACACAAACACACACACACACACACACACACACACGCACACATGCATGAGCACAGCCTGCCCTTCCCAGCCCCCTGAGCAATCTCCCACCTTCTCTGTTGTCCATCCTCTGGGCTTTTTCCTCAAGACTAACCATGATGACACACCACTTTGCAGAATCCCCTCACGATTGCTTTAAGGGCTACTCAAAGGCAGGGTCTGACCTGGCTCCCAAGTACCTTAGTTTGAGTAACAAAAGGCACATCCTTGGCCAGGCACATTGGCTGACACCTGTAATCCCAGCAGTTTGGGAGGCCAAGGAGGGAGGATTGCTTGAGCCCAGGAGTTCGAGAGCAGCTTGAGCAACATAGTGAGACCCTATCTCTACAAAAAAATTAAAAAATTAGCCAGGCGTGGGGTGCATGTCTGTGGTCCCAGCTGCTCAGGAGGTGCGGTAAGAGGACTGCTTGAAGCCCAGGAGGTAGAGGCTCCAGTGAGTTATGGTCACACTACTGCACTCCAGCCTGGATGGGCAACAGAGTGAGACCCTATCTTTAAAAAAAAAAAAAAAAAAAAAAAAAAGGCACCCCCTTGAGAAAAATAAAATTTAAAAAGGCAGCTGGTTGAGTGGACCAGTTAGGGGAAGAGCTTCCTCCCAGACAAGGAGCTTGGGAGTAGAAGAAGCAAAATTCTCTTCCTGGCCCCTGTGCCCAGGGGCATAGGCCCAGAGGTCTATTATTTGCTCAAGAGAATCTCTAAGGTCCTTGCTTTACACATGTAGAAAAGTTGAGTTGATTTTTATTCCAGAGGCAATGGAGGGTGTCATGTGTCTCGCAGAGAAAATGGCACTTTTCTGTTTTAATTCACATTCCAAGGTTATTAGGAACTTAGACCCATTTCTCCTTTGCTTTACTCAATTCTTCCCTCCCTGATTTGTCCCCTTGAGCCTTTGCCCCAAATTTTACATCAAAACCTTATTTTCTTAAGGAATCCAAGGAACTCTTTGGACAGTAAGGATATTAACTCTGGTATCATTGCTGCAAATATTTTCCTTTTACTTTAGGAGTTTTCTGATGTACAACAATTTTTAGGCTTTGTGAATTCAAGTTTGCTGGGCTTTCCATCTACTGCACAAAGACTTCCCGAGCTGCAAATGAAGGAATCTACTCCCGGCGTGGGGGTCCGCAGCGCATCACCTGCCTCTGTAGACAAACTTCATGGGCTCCACGGCCAGTGCGGTGGCCACAACGTCATCTGCATTGTGTCTGCGAACTCCAGTGACCATCAGCCCGTCCAGTTTGCCCACGATGAAGACCAGGTTGTCCTGAGGGAAAGGGTGTGCGTCAAGACTCCACCCACACGGGCAGAAGCTGGATGCGCCAGGACCATGGTCAGGCCCCCCAAGAAGGGGCCAACAGCACAGGAGCCTCTAGCGCCTTGCAAACGGGTCAATGCCCCACAGACCCAATCTGCAACGCAGGCCCTGTGACAAGCTAGGCCTGGAACAGGGGCAGGCTGTGTGGAAGGAATGGGGGCTGGTGGGGCAGCATCAGGAAGGGAGGCAACATGGGAAAGGGGCAGGCTATGTGAAAGAAAGTGGGGCTGCTGGGGCAGCGTCAGCATGGGAAAGGCTCACAAGTGGGAAACGAGTTGTGGGTGGAGTTTGTGAAGGACTGAAAACTGCTGAGCTAAGGGCAGGGGTCCCAAACCCGGCACCAGGGACCTTCTGGGCTGACAATACCATCGCAGGTGCTGTCCTGTGCTTAGGTTGGACACTGAGCAGCATCTCTGGCCTCTAGGTACTCACTAGATGCCAGGAGCACTCCCCTCCCTTGAGTTGTGACAAGCAAAAATGTCTTCAAAAGTTGCCAGAAGTCCCCTGGGAGGGAAGGGGCAAAATTGCCCAGTTGAGAGAAACACTGGGCCAAGATGTTACAAATAGAAGCATTTATTTTTGAATAGTTTAGACATCCAAAATGGTAAAGAATGATATAATGAATACTCACAAACCTGCCACTCCATATAAAAAGCAAAACATCCTCATCCACCCCGGGGACCCCCGACTCAGGCCTGTGTGCAGGACTGTGCACCAGTCTCGGAGGTGTGGATGGCCCTGCACACAGGTAGGGTGATGGGCAGGGAGGTCAGCGC